>NC_000001.11:236487151-236638667 GCF_000001405.40 Homo sapiens | reverse complement strand
ATAAGCTAGTAGGCAAGGACATATATGTGATGAGTCATTTTATGTGTACACATATAAATGTATGTTTATACACCTGCCTGTCTCACAGTAGCTGCCATGGTTCCATTCATTATGTAGGTGATGCATGGATGAATGAGCTACATACATGTGAGCAGGGCTATTTTTATGGAGGTTGTACAGGAATACCCTTCTAGAACATTTTCCCCCAGAATTCTGAAAGCAGGGGCAGGATTCCAGAACTTTTTTTTTCTTTTTTTTCTTTCTTTTTTTTTTTGCTTAATTTTTTATTTTTACTTATTTATTTATTGAGACAGAGTTTCACTCTTGTCACCCAGGCTGGAGAGCAGTGGCGAGATCTTGACTCATTACAACCTCTGCCTCCCGGGTTCAAGCTATTCTCCAGCCTCAGCCTCCCAAGTAGCTGAGATTACAGGCACGCACCACCATGCCCAGCTAATTTTGTATTTTTAGTAGAGACAGGGTTTCACCATGTTGGCCAGGCTTGTCTTGAACTCCTGACCTCAGGTGATCTGCCCACCTTGGCCTCCCAAATCCAGCCTGGGTGATAGAGCAAGACTCCGTCTTAAAAAAAAAAAAAGTTTGTTGCTTTAGAGTCAGGGTCTTGCTCTGTCACCAGGCTGGACTGTGGTGGTGTGATCACAGCTCACTGTAGCCTTGAACTCCTAGGCTCAAGTGATCCTCCCACCTCAGCCTCTGGAGTAGCTGGGACTGCAGGCACACGCCACCACACTTTTTTATTTTGATTTTTTGGTAGAGACAGGGTCTTACTATGTTGCCCAGGCTGGTCTCAAACTCCTGGCCTCAAGTGATCCTCTTGCCTTGGCCTCCCGAAGCAGCGGAATTACAGGGATGAGCCACCGCACCTCAAAAATTTAATAAACTCTATTTTCAAGCTTATCTTATGGCTCCTTATGTAATTGAATGAATGGTATTTTTATCAGATGCTTTTTAAAAGTCAGTACACAATTCCATCTATTTCACAGCAAATTCTACAGAAATAGCAGCTAGACAGCAGGAAGCTGTGGCTTACTGTTTAGTGACTTGTGATTGTAATTAAATGATTAGTCTTCCACTCCATTCCCTCCAACTTGTCTTGGGTCTGGGGAGGTAGGGAGGACAAATGCAAAATCCATAGAGTCAAGGATATAGTGAGGAGTTTACTTTGCCATTGACTCTGACAATCAATCGTCAGTGAGACATGCTGATTGTGATGAGAACATGACTAAAGACAAGATTCCTTCAAGGTAGTGCTCTCACGTTTTCATTCAATGAAAAACTATTGGTGTTGTATAACCCAATGAATCATTTTTGTATTTTGAATCTTTAAAAATATATACAAGTGCTATTTTGCTTGAAGTGCTGTTTATTTATAAGGTTTTGACAATTAAACTGACTCAATTAAAAATTAAATTTAATTAATTAATTTTTTTTTATTTCTTTTTGAAACGGAGTCTCGCTCTTGTCACCCAGGCTGGAGTTCAGTGACACAATCTGGGCTCGCTGCAACCTCCACCTCCCAGGTTCAAGCGATTCTCCTGTCTCAACCTCCTGAGTAGCTGGGACTTACAGGAGCCTGCCACCCACACCCGGCTAATTTTTGTATTTTCAGTAGAGACGGGATTTCACTATGTTGGTCTGTCTGGTCTCGAATTCCTGACCTCAGGTGATCCATCCGCCTCGACCTCGTAAAGTGCTGGGATTACAGGCGTGAGCCACCGCGCCCTGCCAAAAATTGAATTTAAACAGTTACTTCTAATAATGATGGAACGGGGCTTTGGTGAAGAAGGCAAATGTGCCACTCAAAATCTTTTTGGTTTGCGTTGTTTTGGAAAAGTTATGCATAGAGGTAGAACTTTTCTTGAAGTTCAGCAAAAGGCTTAAAGGCAAATTTGAAATATTTTCTCAAATATTCTTGATTAAAAAAAAATTAAGGCTGGGCACTGTGGCTCACACCTGTAATCCTAGCACTCTGGGAGGCCGAGGCAGGCAGATTGCTTGAGCTCAGGAGTTTGCGGCCAGCCTGGGCAACATGGCAAAACCCTGTCTCTACTAAAAATACAGAAAATTAGCTGGGTATGGGGGTGTGTGCCTGTAGTCCCAGCTACTTGGGTGGCTGAAACGGGAGATCACGTGAGCCTGGGAGGAAGAGGTTGCAGTGAGCCGAGATCATGCCACTGCACTCCAGCCTGGGCGACAGAGTGAGACCCCCTCTCAAAGAAAAAAAAAAAAAGTTAAAAAGGCAAGCTTACCAGCAAAGGACTAGCCTGCTTTTCTCCAATCGACTCTGTCTTGGCCTTGCCTTGTGGTAGCTATTCTTTCCACCAAAGACCAATAGCACTCTTGTAGGGTTCTTCGGCACTTGGCACCGAGCCTAGGGAGTCACCTTGGTAGATAGAACAAACTATATGCCAGGCCACCTGCCTTGCTGTGTGTCATGCCTCCATGGGCGAGGAGGCTCCTGTCACGTACTGACTGCAGTATGTTTATTTATGCTGGTCACTTATCTTGTCCACAGCCGGGTGATTACAGGGATTCCCTTTGCCTCACTCTGTAACACTGGAGGTGTACACACACACACAAACACACACGCATGCACACATGCATGCTTTCCCTCTTCTTCCCTTGTTCCTTGGCTGTTGCAGAAGCATCACTGCGTAATATCATGTCTGAGTCTAGCCGGGTCTATCTACCACATTACCACCCCCACCACCCTTCGCAGTTCTAGTATCAGTATCTGATGGAAATAGGACCTTCAGTGGAAGAAGGGAGGAGAGAGAAAGAGACTAAGAGAGAGAGAGAGAGACTAAGAGAGAGAGAGAGAGAGAGACTTTCCATCTCCTCCTCCTCACTCCATTCCCACTGCTCCTTTCACCCCAATACTAGTCCATAGTTTTGAGTATGGACGAAAGAGAAGGATGGAAAGACCCTCGTCTTGGTTTCCGCCACTGCGTCTCCCTCCTGTCCCTACCACCTCACTCCCCCAGCATGTCCGTGGTGAGGAGAGTAGGAGGGAGATGGGAAAATGATTGATCTGAAGACAGTGGAGCCCTGAGCTGCCCTCCCTGCTCCTGACCCTCTGAGCTACACGAAGGGATCAACATACCCTTCGCCCTGCCCCATCGGTTCCCATACCCTCTCCATTCCAACAGCTTCTTCCCTAGTCCTTTCCTCTTTAGGATCCCCAATCCTTGCTTCCTACCTCTTCCCAGCCTCCAAGGCTCAATAACCTCTGCCCCTGGCCATAGGATCCTTACTGGTGGTATAGACCTGGGAAGTTTGTAATCTGGGTTGTAGGACTGCAGCTGTGGAGACATAGGTCCTCCACGTCCAGAGTTAGGACTCTGTCAAAGTGGGTTTTGCTCCCATTTCCACAATAGCTATTGAATAAAGTGCAAATTTATGATGATACATAGGCCCGTTACAACCCAGCTCTGTTCTTCCCTCCAGCCACATCTCCTGCTCTCTCTCCTTCTTGTGCCCTCCCTGCATCCAGGCCACTACACCATTTATATTTTTGTTCATGCTAGTTCTGTTATTTTTCAACTTTTTAATTGTGGTAAAATACATATAACAAAAAAGTTACCATCGTAACCTTTTTTTTCTTTTTGAGATGGAGTCTCGCTCTGTCGCCCAGGCTGAAACCTCCACCTTCTGGGTTCAAGTGATTCTCCTGTCTCAGCCTCCTGAGTAGCTGTGACTATAGGCATGCACTACCACACCTGGCTAATTTTTGTATTTTTAGTAGAGACGGGGTTTCGGCATGTTGGCCAGGTTTGTCTCGAACCCCTGACCTCTGGTGATCTGCCCACCTTGGCCTCCCAAAGTGCTGGGATTACAGGCATGAGCCACAGTGCCTGGCCTGCAAATACTACACCACTTTGTATAAAGGACTTGAGCATCTGTGGACTTCAGTATCCATGTGGGTCTTGGGACCATTTCTCTGCAGATACCTAGGGACAACTGTGCCATATTTTGTTCATCCATTCACCTGTCAGTGGGCACTTGCATTTCTTCCACTATGCTATTTCTTTTGTGTGCAATCCTTGCCCTTCACCTCCTTACCCATTTGCTAGAAACTCATTCTTCAAGGAGTAGCTAAAATGTCCTTTGTGGCTCTCCAGGACCTGCTTCTCCCTCTCCCTCCAGGTAGAATTCACTGCACCCCAAGCCCGCGTTTCCATACTTCTCATGTACCCTCCTATTAGTGCATTTATCCCACAGTAGGAAAGTTTTTGTTTATGCTCTTCCCTCCTCTATGCACAATATACATCCACAGGGAGTTATTGGAAAGTCAAAGGACATGTCTGCTTCATTTTAAATTCCTAGTGAACTAGTGTTTGGTAAAATAAGTGTTTGATGAATAGAGGTAAGTATATGACATCATTTATCAGTTCCACAATATAGGCATGTTGTAGATTATTCATTAAATTAAAAAAAAGTATACCTACCATGTGCTGGGAACTATTCTAGATACCACAGATACAGCTGTAAGAGTGACAAGGTACCCACAGTCACGGACACTGCAGGTGGGGGATGGACAAACAAGCAAGCAAACAAATAAATGAATAAGATTATTTCAGAGAGTCTCAAATTCTGTGATCGAAGTACTACAGGGTGATGTGATAGAGTGTTTAGGTGACATACTTCCCATTGAGTGGTGACAGAAGGCCATTCCAAGGAAATATTAGTAGGATTTACTCTGAGGCTGGATAATCAGGAGCCAGTGAATATCTGGGAGGCACCATATTCTAGAGGGGGAACGGCAATTGCACAGCCCAAGGTATGAACAAGATTGTCATGTTTGAGAAACAGAAGAGTCAATGTTACTGGACAAAAGTAAGAAAGGGAATGTTATGGAGTGAATTGTATCCAACCCAAAATTCATATGTTGAAGCCTTAACCTCCAATGTGATGGTATTTAGAGATGGGAGCTTTGGGAGGTGCTTAGGCTTAGATGACGTCATGAGAGTGGGGCTCTTGTTTTTTTGTTTGTTTGTTTTTGAGACAGAGTCTCGCTCTGTTGCCCAGGCTGGAGTGCAGTGGCACGATCTTGGCTCACTGCAACCTCCGCCTCCCGGGTTCAAACGATTCTTCTGCCTCAGCCTCCCAAGTAGCTGGGACTACAGGTGTGCACCACCACGCTCGGCTAATTTTTGTATTTTTAGTAGAGACAGGGTGTCACCATATTAGCCAGGCTGGTCTTGAACTCCTGACCTTGTGATCCTCCCACCTCGGCCTCCCAAAGTGCTGAGATTACAGGTGTGAGCCACCGCACTTGGCCTGAGGGTGGGGCTTTCATGATGCAATTAGTGCCCTTATAAGAAAAGACATCAGGGCTGGGCATGGTGGAGTCTCACTCTGTCGCCCAGGCTGGAGTGTGACTCTGTCTGAAAGAAAAAGAAAGAGAAAGAAAGAAAGAAAGAAAGAAAGAAAGAAAGAAAGAAAGAAAGAAAGAAAGAAAGAAAGAAAGAAAGAAAGAAAGAAAGACAGAAAGAAAGAGAGAGAGAGAGAGAGAGAGGAAGGAAGGAAGGAAGGAAGAAGGAAAGAAGGAAAGAAAGAAAGAAGAAAGAAGGAAGGAAGGGGAGGGGAGGGGAGGCCAGGGGAGGGGAAAGAAAGAAAGAAAGAAAGAAGGAAAGAGAGAGAAAGAGAAAGAAAGAAAAAGAAAGGAAGAAAGAAAGAAAGAAGGAAAGAAAGAAAGAAGAAAGAAAAGAAAGAAAGAAAGAAAGCAGGAAAGAAAGAAAGAAAGAAAGAAAGAAAGAAAGAAAGAAAGAAAGAAAGAAAGAAAGAAAGAAAGAAGAAAGAAAGAGAAAGAAAGAAAAAGAAAGGACATCAGGGAGTGGCCAGCAGGAAGAAACCAACCATTGCTGGAAACTTAATATTGGACTTTCCAGCCTCTAGAACTGTGAGAAAGTAAAATTCTGTGTTTAAGCCACCCAGTCTATGGTATTTTGTTATGAAACCCCAAGCTGGTTCAGGGAACACCAGATGAGGTAAAAATAGCAGGCAGGAGAACAGATCTTTTAGGATTGTGAATTGTAATGTGGAACATGAAAACTTCATCATCTTCTGTGTGCTGGCTAGTGTCAGTTATCCTTTGCTGTATAAAAATCACCCCCAAAATTAGTGATTTGAAACAACTGTCCCCATTTATTTACTCATGATTTTGCAGTTGCTCAGGACTTGGTGGGGATACCTTGACTCTGCTTCTCGCAGTGTTGACTGAGGTCATACTTGCAGCTACATTCAGCTGGCAGCTTCACTGGGGCTGGAACAGCAAAGACAGCTTCCCTAACATACCTGGCACCTCAGCCAAGGTGGCTGCAATGGCTGGAGGCTCACTGGGCCTTCCACTTCTGTGTGGTTTCTCGTGATTTCGTAGTCTATCCTGAACTCCTTTTCACGGCAACTGGAATGCAAAAAGATGAAAACAGAAGCTACAATGTCTGGGAACAGAAGTCCTAGAATGTCACTTCTACTACACCTATTACTCACTATTAGTCAAAATAAACTCCTCTCCCAATACTTCTCAAAGACTCATCCAATTATGGCGCATGAGTTGAAGTCCAGTTTCTTGTGATCTGCATCAGGTCCAAATGTAGAAAAGTCTCCTCAAAGGTGAGGCCTCTGGCTCTCGATACCTGCGAATTACCTGAGTATCTACCTCTCCTCCACCCAACATCTAAGGGTGAGACAGGGGTAGCTGCTATCTCTGGTCCATAGCAGTGACTGTTTCATAGCAGTTAGGAAATCAACCAAACACGTATCATGAGTTCCCTTGACTCCAGAGTCAAGGGCAGGAAGACACAGAAAGCTCCTCGCTTAGGGTCCTTGTTTACAGGTTACTGCTCTCTGGCTTCGGTTTCCTGATCTAGTATTCTCCATTGTTCTTGGTTCCACCATCTGAGCTCTTGAGTCTGCCCTGTGTTGCTGCCCCTTTCCATAGTGACTGAGTAATGTTTGCACCTGGTTCTGCTTTTGACCAAAGGGAGCGGGAGTCCCAAAGTCTCTTTGCATTTTGAACTCTTTCTGCTTCCCTTGAGTCCAACTTGGTACAACTCCTTTAAAGTCTTTTATCAAATTCCAATCCATTTCCATAAACAAAAGCCACAATCACAATTATCTTCAAGATAAGCTCCTTTCCACTTAGGGCTACAAGTCAGGGTACTGTGGAACAATGTTCCAAAGGTTCTCAGAAGCATAGGAGAAAGGATCTGTGAAGCCACTTTAAATTTTTATGTGACCTTGACAAAGAGTCTTATAGGGACACTTTGTTTTAATCTTGCTCCAAGGCCCTGTTACACTAGTCGCATCCTGGATTTGATCTTTTCCCCGAGACTATTTCTTACTTCAAGAATCTTTTTTCAGGGCCCAGTGCAGTGGGTGGCTCACGCCTGTAATCCCAGCACTGTGGGAGGCCGAGGCAGGCAATCGCATGAGGTCAGGAGCTCCAGACCAGCCTGGCCAACATGGTGAAACCCCGTCTCTACTACAAATACAAAAATTAGCAGGGCCTGGTGGTATGTGCCTATAATGCCAGCTACTCGGGAGGCTGAGGCACAAAAATTGCTTGAACTGGGGAGGTGGAGGTTGTAGTGAGCCAAAATCACGCCACTGCGCTCCAGCCTGGATGACAGAGCAAGACTCTGTCTCAAAAAAAAAAAAAAAAAAAAAAAAGCAAACAAACAATAAAACCTTTTTCCAGCTGGAGATGCTGAGAATGAGAAAGTGGTTTTATTTTCCAAACCAATAAATCCTGGGTTGGAAATACATCCTCTAACGTTTGCTTGAAAACTGCACAGTTCCTTCTTTAGCTCATCTCTCTCTTCCCTTACCTTATCACAGGCAGTGAGTTAAGATAAATGAATTGGCACTTTTCATAATTTGCTGGAAAATCTCCTTGGCAAACCCACAAGTACACGGGCCCATGTTTAACTTAGCATGTTAACTTAGTGCCACCTATAGCGCTTGTGGCCCTTCCTCCAGCTTCCCATGGAGTTTCTTCATTGTTCTTCCAGCCTCCACTTCTGTATTCCTATCACTTCTCTGGCCTCCATCTCCCTGATCCTATAGCCAATGACACACATATTAGGTTTTTGTTATATGACAGCACCCAACTTTGGGGTACCCATTTTGGTACCAGCTGCCATTATTTTTTCAAGAGATAGTGTCTCACTCAATCAGCTGGAGTGCAGAGGCATGATCATAGCTCACTGTAACCTCAAACTCCTGGACTCAAGTGACCCTCCCACCTCAGTCTCCCAAGTACAGGTGTGCACCACCATGCCAAGCTAATTTATTTATTTATTTTTGTTCCCCAGTCTGATCTCGAACTCCTGGGCTCAAGTGATCCTTCCTGCCTCAGTCTCCCAAAGCAGTATCAGTTATCTATCAATGCATAACAAACCAATCCAGAACTTAAAACAAAAATCACTTATTTTTTCTCACAGTTCTGTGGGGTTGAGTGGGCAACTCTTCCACTCTACCAGTTGTTGGCCAAGGCTCACCCACGTGACTGAATTCAGCAGGTGGCTGGGCTTTTCTGGAAGAAAGGTCTCTCTCATACATCTGGGACCTTGATTCAATCTTCAGCAGGGGTGCCTTGTTTCTCCTCCTCATGGCCTCTCTCTCCATGTGGTATTACATCCTCCATGTCCTCTCCACGTGGCCTCTTTTTCCAGCAGAATAGCATGGACTTCCTTACAGTATGACCACCAGTTTCCAAGGAAGCAAAGCAAAAACTGCCAGGTATAGATAGCATCATTGCTATTTTCACTCTACTGTTCAAAGTGCCTCCCAGGGCCAACATTCTTTCAAGGAGGGGGAAACTAGACTCCATCTCCTGGAGTATGCACAGATAGGAGAAATTGTCAGCAGTCATATTTGTGGGACAAACTACTCTGTCGGGTCCAGCCCACTCTCTGCATCTCTTCTCTCTCCTCGCGTGATGCAGATTTGTCCTACAGAATTTTGAACATTTCTAGCCCAGGACTCAGGAAGTCACTTGAGTGCCTTTTAATATGTGTTCAGCTCTGACTTTGACCCCTGGTTCACATTAGCGGGTTTCTATATTGTTCCTGAGACCCAAAGCTTGAACTCTATACTGCAGGGGCAGTAACTAAATCTCCTTCTTGCACCTGCTGAGGTAAAATGACTATTATTATTAATAGCAAATATTTGTTAAACTTGTTCTCTGTACCAAGCAAACCTGGAGAGTTTCATATTACCTTCATTTTGCAAATGAGAAAACTGAGATCCAGAGAGGTTGGTTAGGTGGCTCATGGTAGTAAGTGGCAGACTGAGCCCGACCAGCTCAGATGGTCTGGGCTAAAACCTGTCTATGTAACTCCCAAACTCTTCCTGGGTTGTGGTATTGCATAACTCTCATCAGTCTCCCTTACCTGAAGTGGCTTCTAACTCCTGACCCCTGCTTGGATTTTGGGTCATGCTACATGCCAAGATGCTTCGTACTGCTGATCCCATGACTTCTTGCCTTTTAAAAAAATTAAGTGCATATTCTACTATAATACAGCATACATACAGAAAAGTATATATAGTTTATAGCCTGATGGTTTTCACAAAATGAACATACCTGTGTATTTACTGCCCAAATCAAGAAACAGAACATTCCCGTGACCCCAGAAACCCTTATGCCTCCTCCCAGTAACTACCTATCTCTGCTGCACAAATTATTCCCTTCATTATAGATTAATTCTTACTGGGTTTGAATTTTATATAGATAGAATCGTGCTATTTGTATTCCTTTGCATCTGACATCTATTGCTTGATATTAGGCTTGTAAGAGTCTGTCATATTGCTGTGCGTTGCAATGGTTTGTTTGTTCTCATTGCTGAATAGTATTCCACTGTATGACAGTTTCACAATGTATATGTTTATTCTTCTGTTGATAAACATCTGCATCGGAAGCAGATTATGCTATTACAAAATATGCTGCTATGGACATTCTCAAACATGCCTTTCGGTGTTCGTACGCACACATTTCTCAACATTTCTGTTGAGTATATAGCATACCTGAGAGTTTCAGTAATGAGAAAACAATAATTTTACAGAATATTTGTACCAATTTGTACTTCCACCAGCAGTATAACAAAATGTCAGTTGTTCCACATCTTTACCAACATTTGGTATTGCCTGTCTTTTTAATATTAGCCATTCTGGTGGGTGTGTAGTGAAATCTCACTGTGGCTTTCATTTGACTGGTTACAAATGCTGTGGAGAACATACTTATATGTTTATTAGACACATTCAGATATTGTCTCTTTAAAAGTGCTTGTTCAAGTCTTTTGTTATTTTTTTCTATTGAATGTCTATTTTTTCTTTTTGATTTGAAGCAGTTCCTTAAATATTCTGCATATGAGTCATTTGTCAGATACATATGAATTACAAATATTTTCTCTGTTTTGCAGTTACTATTGCACTAATGATGTTTTTGGTAAACAGCCCATCACTACTCCTACATTGCCAGTTGCTAGACTCTGCTTCCCAATAGGGTCTCCCCATTTCCTCTGGGCCCTCTCTAATGCTGACTGCTGCCTGTAATCTTGCCTTCAGGGCAATGTCCCCTGCCGGCTGCACTGAACACCTTTAGAATCCAGTGCACCTGCTCCTGTCCTTCCAGGGCTGGTCCTGTCCTAGTGGGCAGATCTGGTTCCAGGTTCTGGCACCTTCCAGTCTCCTCAGGCCTCCCTGCAGTTAACTAGCTGTGCCCAATCGTGTTCTGAAAATAAGTTCAGGATGTCCAAACAATTGACTTATAAATGAACTTTTGGAACCCATGACTTTTTACACCAGAGGAGTCCTACACATTCTATTTATTTCTGCCTTAGTCACCTAGGATCAAGTACCTCCTGTAGCCAAAGGGGACTGGGACATTAAAATCATGATTGTGAATCACCAAGACACCCGTGCAAATTAGTACTAGCCCATCAATCCACAGAAGAAAATATACCATGGGAAAATGAAATCCTTATGCCAAATCGAGACATTGAGAAATTCAGCAAATAATTATTGAGTGCCTGATATGTGTCAGTCACTGTTCTAAATATTGCAGAAGTAACAAAAAGGAAAAAACCCAGACACCAATCTATGCACACATGGCACTCATTTTAGATGGAGAAACAGGTAGTAAACAAGCTAAATAAATAACACAGTTAGTATGTTAGGTAATGAGTGCTAAGGGAAGGGATATAGGAGTGTCCGATGGTGGTAATGGGTTGTTAGTAATTTTAGAGGGACTTCCAGGTAAGAGTTCACCAAAAAGGTGATGTTTGAGCAAAGACTTGAAAAAAGGAGATAGCTATGACATTATCTCAGGGAAGAGCATCGAAGACAGAAGGAACAGTGAATTCAAAGGCCCTGAGGTGAAAACATGTCTAGTGTTTGGAAAAACAGCAAGCAGAACCAGGCACAGTGGCTCATGCCTGTAATCCCAGAACTTTGAGAGGCTAAGGCAGGTGGATCACTTGAGGTCAGGAGTTCGAGACCAGCCTGGCCAACATGGTGAAACCCCGTCTCTACTAAAAATATGAAAAAAATTTGCTGGGTGTGGTGGCACACACCAGTAATCCCAGCTACTCAGGTGGCTGAGGTATGAGAATCAGGTGGCATGAGGTATGAGAATGAGGTATGAGGTGTTGAATCCGGGAGGCAGAGGTTGCAGTGAACCGAGATTGCACTACTGCACTCTAGCCTAGGCAACAGAGTGAGACTCCATCTCAAAAAAAAAAGGAAAGAAAGAAAAAGAAAATCAGCAAGCATCCAAGAGATGTAGATGGAATTATAGTTATAGCTGTTATAAGAAGAGCAGAAAGCAATAGGGGAAGAAGTCAAAGAGGTATAAAAGAGGTAAGGTCTTATAGGTCATTGACCTTCAATATGATGCAGAGAACATACTTACATGTTTATTAAACACATTCAGATATTGTCTTTTTAAAAGTGCTTGTTCAAGTCTTTTGCCCATTTTTTTCTATTGAATGTCTATCTTTTCTTTTTGATTTGAAGCAGTTCCTTAAATATTCTGCATATCAGTCATTTGTCAGATATACATGTCAGCTGTGCTAATTTGGTATCGTGGATCTCAGAGGCCAAGTTGCCATATGTGTAGAAAAGAAAGATGGCTGTCATTTGAGTTGTTAAGAACAGCATGCTGCAATACCAAAACATCAAGCTGTACATCTCAAATATGTATGATTTTCATATGTGAATCACATCTCAATAAAGCTGTTAGGAAAATAAAATTACCATTAAGTTTAAAAAAAAAAGAAAAAAAGAAAAAAACAACCACAGTCGGGGCAAGGGCCATGTTACTAGGGCCAGGGATTTGGCCAATGAAGCAGGAACATAGAGATCCTAGGTCCATAAGGAAAAGAAGATTCAAGGAAGGCCAGGACATGGGAGGGAATGAACAAACTCCAGTCCTAGAGGTTTAGCAGAGACTAGCTGGCTTCTTGCAGTGAATTAATAAATGAGAAAAAAATCTGAGATCACAATAAAAGATCTTTACTGGTGCAAGGGTCACTTCTCACCGCTGTTTGACTGCTTTGGGTCATTCTTTAGTACCTTAAGTTTTTTATATTTTGTGAAGATTTTACTATTTTTTATCTGCAAGAGAGTAAGTTCAATCAAGCTATTGCACCATTACTAAAAGTGAGGCTTCTTTGACTATTTTTTTTAAGAGTTGGGGTTTGCTCACTCACCCAGGCTGGAGTACAGTAGTGTGATTATAGCTTACTGCAGCTTCGAACTCTTGAGCTCCAGGGATCCTCCTGCCTTAGCCTCCTGAGTAGCTAGAACCACAGGCACACTCCACCACGTCTGGCTAATTTTTAAAAATTTTTGCAGAGACTGGGTCTTTCTATGTTGTCCAGGCTGGTCTTGAACTCCTGGCCTCTAGTGATCCTCCCACCTCAGCCCCCAAGTAGCTGATTACAGGCAAAAGCCACCATGCCTAGCTCACTTTTACTATTTTTTACAATTCAAGATGTTGTCTATCTTTTTCAGCTACTCTATCCTGATTAATAAATGTTCTGTTAGTTTTGACTTATATTCTTCTTTTTGACTGGTCGTTCTCCTTAAATAAGATGTATTTTTCTTTGTTGGCTCCCTGAAGGCTCTGGTCTTATATTGAATTACCCAAGTTGGCAGTACTTTTCATGTAATGAAAGCTAAAGCTGTCTCTACTCCTGTGGTTGGCAGTGTAGAAGCAGGCAAGTTAACAATTCCAGTAAGGATCATGGACAAAGTCTTCTGTTCTGTTTCTTCTTACTTTCCTTGTCACAGGATCAGTAAACACTCGAGGCATTGTTAAACTTTATATTAGTTTTTTCTTTTGCTGTGTAACAATATTATCACAAACTTGCTGGCTTAAAACAACATAAACTTATTATTTCACAGTTTCTGAGGTTCAGGATTCCAGACACAACTAGACTGAGTCCTCTGTCTTAGGGCCTCACAAAATTGTGATCAAGATGTCATCTGGGCTGCAGGCTTTTCTGAGACTCGACTGGGGAAGGATCTGCTTCCGAGCTCATGTGGTTGTTAGTAGCATTTGTTTCTTTGTGGACCATTGGACTAAAGGCCTCTGTTTCTTGCTGGGTATTAGCTGAAGGAGTTCCTTAGGTCCTTGCCATATTAATCTTTCCAGAATCATTTGTTTTCTCAAAGCCAGCAAAGTAGAGTCTCCTGGAAAGATTGATGTTACAATCATATGTAATGTAATCACTTACATGTAATCACACATATTCTGTCATGCAGGCTGTATTCTGTGGATTGAATCAAGTCGCAGGTCCCACCTACACTCAAGGGAAGGGATTAAATCCAGGAGGCAGGGATTACGGAGGTCATTTTTAGAATCAATATGCCACAGTCTGCCCTGATTCCCAGTGATTCATGCCTCTCCCACATGAAAATATATTCACCCCTCTTAAGGTTCCTAAGAGTCTCATCCCACTGCAATGTGTGCTTGAATTCAGAATTTCAAAATCTAAATAAGATCCAGGTGCAGGTGAGGCTCTTTAGATCTGGTTCCTCTCCATCTGTGAGTCTATAAAACTAGAAGTTGGGGGAAAAAGAAATCAAGATCCACAAAAGTATGCCAGTTCATAAATACAGAATTAGCTAAATTCACTATCAAGCAAAAGCGCATGCATCCACAAAAAACATCCAAAATGCATGCATGCAGGTAGTCATGAGTGGCTATAAATTTCTAGGGAATTTTCAGCTCTACCTATCTAGAATTAAATCTACAATTGTTATACCTCATCTCTACCTTTGTAAATACTCATCAGTTATTCAACAAGCATCAGTAGTTACATTAAGCTTACTCTAATGTCCTATTTCCTTTTTCGGAGACAGGGTCTCACTCTGCCACCCAGGCTGGAGTGCAGTGGCATGATCATGGCTCACTGCAGCCTCAACCTCCTGGGTTCAAGCAATCCTCCCACCTCAGCCTCCCTAGTAAGCTGGGACTACAGGCACACATCACCAAGCCCAGCTAATTTTTGTTTTTTAGTTTTTATTTTGGTAGAGATGGGGTTTTGCTATGTTGCCCAGGCTGGTCTCAACTCCTGGGTTCAAGTGATCTGCCCACTTCAGCCTTTCAAAATGCCGGGTTTACAGGTATGAGTCACCATTGCCTGGCTTGATGTCCTGTTTTCATAATTCTCTATCAGTACTGCTTAGGGTTATCTTGAGCACTGTGTCTACTTAACAGTACATATGGTTAGTCATATCCATCAACATTCCTCAGAAGATTAGATTAAGTTCTGTTTCCCATGAGAGGCAAGTTATCTGGTCCCCACTCCCCACACCCAACATAGAATGGTGGTATAGATCTATTATAACAGCTATAAACATTCCCATTCAAAAGGAGCCAAAATAAAAGATATAAATAAGTGACTTGTGAGTAGAAATTCTGAAATCCAATCAAGCAAATATTGGGAGTTTCTTTTTTAGATTTCAAGGCTTGAGAATAATTCTTTGTAGCACTTGGCTCCACCCATCGGATTCTTGGTTCTACCCTCTGAGTCATCCTTTTTTCATGAAAGGTAACGTGTGTTTGCAACTGAATAGTTTTATTGGTCTGCTTCCTGCCAGTAGGATTTGGAAGGACTGACATCCTCCTCTCATTTCGTACTCTTTGTCCCTTCAAAGCTGGCAGTGTCTTGCTGAAATACTCTTTCCTCAAATACTTAGTGGGTTTCCTGTGAATTTTCCTGGTTTTCACTCTATCAGGCAAAGATCACATCCACAGACCTTGTCGAGACCTCAATTGTAGGTCCCTGATGAGAGGGCTGAAAGACAACACTCTTAAGCTGCCTGGAGGCTCTCAGTTTTGATGGAAAGGTTCCATGAGGCACATGCTTAATTTCTTGAAAGTCCTTTGTGTGACTGAATGCTTCTCTGATCCTCTGATCTTTCTGAGGTCTTAACAAAAGATGATACAGTAGCATCCTCAGCTTTATCTTCATACCTTACAGTCCTAACTGTTCTCAGAAGCCATTTCTTTATCTTAACATCTTTGCCATCTGGAAACGCTGAGAGTCTCCAAAATCATGAAGTCCTGGTTCCATTCTGTTTACCAAAATCATGAAGTCCTGGTTCCATTCTGTTTAATCATTCTTCCCTCAGTTTGTCTCTCTCCTCTCACATTTTGCTATAAGCAGCAAGAATAAGGCAGGAGACACCTTCAACATTTTGCTTGGAAATCTCATCAGCTAAATAACCAAGTTCATCAATTGCATGCTCTGCTTTTCACATAATTACTGGCAACAATTTTCTGCCACTTTGTGACATAGATTCCCCCTTCCTCCAGTTTCCAATACTATACTCATCACCTCCTTACTTCCTTTTGAGCCCTTACTAGCAGCATCCTTTGTGTCTAGATTTCTACTTACAAGGCAGGCTTTCCTTAGCATTCTCCTCAAAATACTTCCAGCCTCCATCCCCTGCTTGTTTGCAAAGCAAATAAGTGCAAGGGTCACTTTCCATTGTTAGTTTTTCGTTATGGAAGCACCCCACTTCTGGTACTGAAATCTGTTCTAGTTGTCCACTGCTGTGTAACAATATTACTACAAGTTTCATGGCTTAACACAACATGTATTTATTGTTTAATAGTTTCTGTGGGTCCAGGCACGGCTTAGCTGGGTCGTCAGCTTCAGGGTCTCATAAAGCTACAATAGGCATCAGCTAGAACTACAGGTTCAACTGAGAGAGGATCTGCTTCCAAGCTCTTGTGGTTGTTGACAGCATTCAGTTCTCTGTGGGCTGTTGGACTGAGGGTCACAGTATCTTTCTAGCTGGAGGCTGAAGAATGCTTCCAAACAGTAGCTTGTTTTCTTGAAGCCAGCAAGGGAGAAAGACTCTGTGCAAGATGGATATTACATGCTTATGTAATATAATCCCATATATATAATCCCATACATCCTGTCACCTTTGCCATAATCTATTGGTTAGAAGCAAATCACAGGTCCCACATACACTCAAGAGGAGGGGATTCGATAAAGGCATGGAAATCAGCACAGAGGTTATGGGGTCTGCCTTACAGTCCATCTGTCACAGTTTCTTCTTAGCATCTTGAGGTCAGGGAAACTAGACCCACTCATGCATTCAAAGTCAACTTACATAGGAGGATGTGTACATTTTAGCAATGCATGTTCCACCCAGGTTCCTCTGCCTTATGGTCTCAAAAAAGAGTACCATGATGTTATTGGCCTCCATGCTCCTTCCTGGCACACAGAGACAACCAAAACTTAGAGAGAGCAAAGGCTTTACCTGTGGCTGCCTAGATCAGGTGAAGCACAGAAAATGAAATTAAAAGTGAGTCTTACTTGGATGCCGCAATCCCACAATCCTCACGCGCGTGTGTGTGTGTGTGTGTGTGTGTATGTGTGTGTGTTTGGTCATTTTCCACAGCCTGTTTAGAAATAAACATATTTAAATAAATTATGATACCTATAAATTATAGTACCAATTTTGTAGGTATTCACAGAAATTTTAGCATGGAAAAATGTTCCTGGGGCAAAAAAAGCAGTTTACAAAACAGTAGATATTTCAAATATCATTCCTTTTAAATATATGCATATATAATGTTAAAAAGTATTAAAAGTGGTTATTTCTAGGTGGTAAAGATAATGGATGATTTTATATCACCTTCTTTAACTTAGCGTTATCGAAAAATATAATGAAATCTATCATTTTAGTATTAAAGGAAAAAGCTTTAGAAGTTTTTGCTTTTTTTTATTTTACAGTGGGAGCTACTTGAGATTGCAGACTATGTTATTTATCTTTGTGTTTCTAGCCCCTAGCATAACTCCTCTGGACATATTAAGCTCTTAATAAATGTTTTTGAATAAACACATGCATTTCAGAAGTTTTAAAACTAATATAGATATTCTCTGGGAATATGCAGATGGTACTACTTCATTTGCATTATTATAAACAGCAACAAAGAAGTCCCCCAAACCTGGCCTCTACTTCTCCTTAGAGACCAAATCCACCCCCCTACCCTCATAATGCAGTTAACTATTATACCACAAGGGACCAGGAGGTAAAGATCGCCAATGGTAGGGTTGTTGGTTAAGTATGGTGAAATTTACAGGTAATTTAATATTTCTTGTTTTAGTCTATCGTTTCAACTGTCTTTCCCAATATGACTTTTGAAATGGGTACTAGTAAGGATGAAAACTAATGGAGTTATCATTACACTTCTTGCTTTATTTCACCACTATAGGAGTTGGTAATGAGCATTTAATTTATTTTGAGTTTTATAGATTGGAGGAGGAGGAAAAATAAGGAGCCAATTAAGTGACCCTTGTAGTACTGGGGAATTACTATAAGTAAATCTTTGCTGCTTTTTACTTCACCCAAAATAAACTGTTACTCACCACAGGTGAGTGAGTAAGAGATTTTTTTCCGAAGAATACTAAGCAGGAACATGTCATGGTATGTTTATGTTATTATTTCAGCATTGCACCTTAATGCTTACATTATTTTTAAGGATAATGGGGGCAAGTATAATTTGAATTTTCTTTTACAGAGGGGAATATTGAAGTACAGAAAGAGGCTAAAGAAATTTTACAGGATGATTTGTAAAGTCAGTGACCCATCAAATAATATATATCAACATTTCTGATTGATCTCCCTCTGTAAATTTAGCCAGGACTCTTCTACTTCCTACTCACCAGTATCTTGATCCCTAAGAAAATAAAATTACAAATAACTAAATTAGAGCATTGTAGGGTTTTCTTTTTTCTATGAATCTAATTTTTTTTTTTTGAGACAGGGTCTCACTCTGTTGCCCGGGCTAGAGCGCGGTGGCATGGTTACAGCTCACTGCAGCCTCAACCTGCTAGGCTCAAGTGATCCTCCCATCTCAGCCTCCTGAGTAGATGGGACTACAGGTGTACGCCACCACACCCAGTGAATTTTGTTATTTTTTATAGAAACAGGGTTTTGCCATGTTGTCCGGGCTGGTCTCGAACTCCTGGGCTCAAGCAATCCACCCTCTTCGGCCTCCCAAAGTTCTGGGATTACAGGCATAAACCAATGTGCCTGGCCCTGTTTCTTTACTTCCTGCAGGTTTTTTAACTCATGTGATTCTAATATTTTATGATGATTAGATCAGTATCCCTTTTTTAACCTACTATTTGCACAAGAAATATGTCAAGACCCAAGAGAGTACTTTCAATTACAGAATCTTCTGGCCTCATCTGAGTAACAAAGCTCTCCACCAAGGTCATGATGCCAGCAAGACTTCACTGGTATATGTCAGCTTGTTCAGTTTCCCCTATAATTGTGGCCTCAGCCTCAGTCTCTCAGATGCCACATCTTCCTGCATTTACCTTCCTGAAAAATGGAGAGGCTGACACGTGCTGAAAACTGTGCCAAGCCCTGGCTGAAAGTTAGGGGTGAGTAGAGGCAGTCCAGCTATGCTGTTCCTTTCCTGTGCCCAGAGGAGTGTTTTAATTTCCCTTTCGTTCGATAACACACGTCCCTTTCTCCACTTTCTACCAAGTCCTCTCTTGGAAGTCACCCTGGCTTGGTACATTCCATGTCTGAAATCTGAGCTCCACCCAAGCAAATCAGTAGTCAGCCTCTGCACCTCCTTCCTCTCTCCGCTTGCCCTTGGTCTCCTTCATTTCTCTCTTGATTACTGCAGTCCATTTTTTCTTTTACAAAGTCAAACTTCAGCTCCCTTCTCCACCAGCAACTGTATACGCAAATTAAGATGAGGTTGTTCCATTCTCTTTTAGGAGTATCTATCACTGACTGCTATTCCCAGAAAAATACATTTGGGAAGTATTATTTTAGATTATATTAGTTTGTACACCATCTTTTAACTTTCTTTTTCTGATGTCAAAAGTAAACATTTTTTGACAACATTTGAGAAAACAGGGAAGAAAATAGAAATCAGTCTCCTCACCCAGAGTTCTTGTTAATATCCACATCTATTTCTTTCAAGACCTTAATCTATGCATGTATGATTATATAAAAATATATATATATATATATTTGCTGAAGAAGGATAATTTTGGATACACATTTTCCTGTATCTCTTTTTATTTAGCGTGGTGTTGTAACATATTCCCACATAATTAAATAGTCTTTTAAACACATTATTTTTTAAGTCTGCCTTTGAATTGCTTTCAGATGTTTCCCCTCATTTATTAACTGGGAAAAAAAAATCAACCCCATAATTATGGTCATTCCTAAGGTTTGAAAAATCTAACCCTACACTTGAATTTTTGAATCAGCAAAATTAAACTTAAAAAACACACATATGGGAAAAGCTAATATTGCTGTAGATTTTAAGGTAAACCAAAAGTTCATGTATTGAATTTAATTTAATGGAGAGCAGTGGTGCTATCCATCATGAATACCAAAATGCGGCTAAAAATAACGACTGTGGTTGAGTAAGACTGCAGAAGATAGTCTAAGAACAGATGAGGAAACATGACAGCAAATTCCTCTGTAGTTTGCAAATAGACATCCGTACTCTGTTGGAAAAGTCTGGGTCTTCTGTTCCGCTAGAGAATAATATCCAATGTGTGATTTCTTTCTTTTTTCTTTTGTTTTTGTTTTTGAGATGGAGTCTTGCTCTGTCGGCCAGGCTGGAGTGCAATGATCTCGGCTCACTGAAACCTCCACCTCCTGGGTTCAAATGATTCTCCTGCCTCAGCCTCCTGAGTAGCTGGGATTACAGGCGCCTGCCACCACACGTGGCTAATTTTTGTATTTTTTAGTAGAGACGGGGTTTTGCCACGTTGGCCAGGCTGTTCTTGAACTCCTGACCTCAGGTGATCTGCCCGCCTCAGCCTCCCAAAGTGCTGGGATCACAGGCATGAGCCACCATGCCTGGCCCCAATGTGTGATTTCAATCCTGTGTTTGTGGATTAGTGGTTAGGGAAGTGGTCAAAATTGGTCATTCTAGTAACCATAAGTGAATATTTCTTCGGGAATAACCAAAGAATACAGAGAAAAAAATCTAAAGAGGAATACACTGTTGGTTTAGAGGTTCAGAAATTTATATGTCTTGATAAAAGCAGTAAATTATCTATTTTATAATTACTTTATGAAGAAATACAAAATCTGACTAGATCTACAGAAAGCCAGAGGTTCAGGTAAATGTCTCTTAGATCTTGGTTTGGTAGAAAAAGCACTGGACTGGGATTCGAAACCTGGGGGCTGGTCTTATCTTTGTCACTAAACATTCGAGTGATTTGAACAAGTTATTTCATTTATCTGAGTCTCAGATTTTTCTTCCTTAAAAAAAGGACGAAAGTAATACATGCTTATTACAAAAATTTTAAGCAATATTTAAATATATAGAGTAAAAATGTACTTTGCCTCACTCTGAGTCTACCTCATAATATAATCTCTGTTAAAAATTTGGTATATATCACTTTGTATATTTCTCTATAAGCATTTAAATATTTTTTATAAAAATGGAATCAGACTATTGTCCTCTAACTTGCTTTTTCCACTTAACAGTATATCATGGACATTCTTTCCTGCTGCAGTCTTATATTTCATGACACAGAGATACTTTCATTTATTTAACAATTCCCATCACTGATGGACACTTAGATTGACACTAGATTTTTACCATCTAAAAATTTTTCAATAAGCACAACTATACATATATCCTCATGCATATGTATTAGGATTCTTTAAGATAGCTTTCTGAAAATGGAATTGCTGGCTCATGCCTGTAATCCCAGCACTTTGGCAGGTTGAGATGGGCAGATTGCTTGAACTCATGAGTTCAAGACCAGCCTGGGCAACATGGCAAAACCCCATCTCTACAAAATATTAAAAAATTAGCCGGGTATTGTGGTACACACCTGTACTCCCAGCTCCTTGGGAGGCTAAGGTAGGAGAATCACTTGTTGAAAGGATCACTTGAGCCTGGGAGATCAAGGATGCAGTGAGCCATGATCACGCCGCTGCACTCCAGCCTGGGTGACAGAGCGAAACCCTGTTCAACATCAAATAAAGTAAATAAATAAATTTTTAAAAATAGAATTGCTGAGTCAAAGTCTATATGTATTTTAAATTTGTGGCAGGGCACGGTAGCTCACACCTGTAATCTCAGCACTTTGGGAGGCTGAGGCAGGGGAATTGCTTGAGTCCAGGAGTTTTAGACCAGCCTGGGCAACATAGCAAGACCCCATCTCTACAAAAAATCAAAAATTATCTGGGCATAGTGATACACACCTGTAGTCCCAACTACTCAGGAGGCTGAGGTGGGAAGATCACTTGAGCCTGGGAAGTCAAAGCTGCAATGAGCCGTGATTGAACCACTGCACTCAGCCCGGATGACACAGTGAGACCCTGTCTCAAAAGAACTATTGTACAGGTAGTGCCAAACTGCCCTCCAAAAATGTACAGCTTGATGTTTTCCTCAACAGGAACGAAGATGCTCCCCTTTACACCTTCACCACCACTGAATATTGTAAATCTTTTTTATACTTTGCCAATCTAATCAGTGAAAATGGAATTTTACTGAAACTTTCTTCATCTATATAATGAAGAGCTGAATAGCATGGTCTCTAAGGACGTTTACACTTCGAAAATGCTGCAGAACTGTGGAAAACATAATTGCTTTACCTGAAGACACAAATGGCTGGTGTTGCAGTGGACTCTTCTGGGCCCTTCCTGACCCATCTGTGAAGCTACAATGCCCAGACCTGAGAGTTTCTACTGCGAGTTCCAGAGGAGGTGGGGTAGAAGGCATCCAGGTAGACGAGATGTAGACAGTGCCACCTGTCAATCTTATCTGAAGTGAAGGAAGACAAATGTTGCTATTTTCAGCAAGTTTAGCTAAAATAGAGAAAACATAACACACACACACAAACACACACACACACCCAAAGTCTAAAAATATTTAATTGTTTAACACTGCTTATTATAAAGCAAGGACAGAAGCTTGGTATTTCATCTAAAAAGTTCTCGCTTTGCAAAATCCAGCATTTGGCAGGGACTCTATAAGGAACGATAATAATTGTGCTGATGAAACCATCTCAGCTAATGTCTTCTTTCTGTCTACATTTTGGACACATAGATATTGCACTAATGCTAATCTAACTTTCAGTTAGCCCTAAGGGGGACAAAAAAAGATTATGACAGAGCAATGGAAAATCTACCAGGGGAAAGTTAGTTTGATTGATGTGCCCTTCTGGCTTGAGCACGCAGTTCTTCCATTTAGTGTTACAGTGTCTTTTGAGTGGCAGTTTGGCTTAGATTTAAGACACTGGTGAGCTACCCCTAAGCTCTGCAAAGCCTTTCTTAGTTGCCATTAGTTTTTGTGTAGTGCCTTCCTTTCTGATAGCTCTTTTTATTTCATAAATTTCTTGCACAGTTTTAAAACCCTTAACACTTTTAATTTCAATCAATTATACTATAAAATGGAAGAAATTGTTTTAAAATGATATCTGTAGGGAAACTTACTGAAATGTTAACATAACACCGGTACTGAACTATTGCGATCACCACGTTACTGGTCTCTCTGTCATCAGCCTTCGCCGCTCCAACGTAACCTCCGCTCCTTGGCCAGAATCAACCACCTGCAATTTAGAACATCTTCCATTTCCAAACTCCATCACTTGCTCCAACTGGTTCCTTGGTTTTTCCTTCTAGCACACCCCATGGACTAGTGCGATCAGTCTGGTAGTTCCTCGAATGCTCTGCTTCATGTCTCTGTGCCTTTTACATGCCAACCCACTGCCCGGAATGATTTGTTCCCTGGAGTATCATACCCTGGCTTGTTTCTAGTCAACCTTTCAAGATGCAGTTCAAATGTCATCTTCCCTGGAAAGATGAACTCCCCAGGGAAGGTTGACCCCTCCATGCCCTCAATCTCTATAACCCTGATGGTTGGCATGGTTTATCTGACCTGCCTCCTTTCTGAACCAGACTCTCCTAAGGCTTCTTTCTGGCTAACCATGGGCCCTGTATATTGGCCATCTTTCTATCATTTATTAGAGTGCCAGGCATTTTGTAGAACTGTAGTTAAGGTTCATTGAATTGACTTGCCTTGAATGACATAGTGATGAATCTGAAATTACTTGAAGACTCATTTTATTGGTGATCTTGGCACAGATTACTACAAAGTACTGCTTTGTCAAATAAGCTACACTTACAAATTATGCAAACTACTAACAAATCACGTCTCTGGGAAAAATGTCAATGGGCACAGGGATCCCAAACTCCTTATTACTGGAAGAACGAGGCATGAGAGGTATCGTATCGTTATTTGTATAGTCTTCTTTGATATGCTGCTTGTACAATAACCACGGTTCCCTAAAGATTCTGAGACCTTTTGAAACATTTGAAAGCACATTCAATGAAAACACAAAACCAATGATATGTGTGAAGTATGATAGGACTCACTTTGCTAGTACCCATCAAAGTAGTTTCTTAAAGGTATACCATCATCCTTCCAACCTTCAAAATGTTCAAATAATTTTGACCTGTCCAATGTTGAAGTTTTTGGATGTGATATATCCCTCCATTTAACTTTCTGAAAGTAAAAATAATAATGGCATTAGATATAAATATATTACCCTTTAATTAAGACCTTAAATTCTTCAAAGTTTGCAATTCACTTGTAACTCAAAATTTTTACATGTACAATGACTTTTACAGACAGGTCCTCTGACATACATAATAAAAAATTTCCAAATGTCTTTATAAGTAAATTTAAAGGAGTAAATTCATTCCATTATGTCTTCTGTTATAGAAACCTGGCTCTTAGAACTGAATGTCTTCTTCAAAGTAAGCCCTTAGATTTCAGTCTAAAAAAAAAGTCTTTAAAATAGCATAAACCAAAATGTGCATTGGTATTTAAATAATTGTTAATATATAGTCTCTAGCAAGTAATTTATGTGGAGCCATTTATGGGAAAGAAATTTAAACTATATATATCAAGGTTTAAATATTAGAGGCTGATTTAAAAGGGAAAATGACATCATGTAAAAAAATCATGGGTACCAATAGATAAATTAGAAAAAGAATCCTTGATTATTTTTGTTTAAAACTGTCAAACTATTGTTTTTATAAGTTTATGTTTAAATATATATACTTACATAAATTGTATTTATACTTAGCTGTATATAACCATATATTTTTAAAATTCACCATCCCATACAGTCTTTAACAAGCCAGCTATGGAATGCTGGCTTGTTAAAGACTTCCAGAAATGAGGCCAGACACGGTGGCTCACGCCTGTAATCCCAGCACTTTGGGAGGCTGAGGCATGTGGATCACTTGAGGTCAGGAGTTCAAAACCAGCCTGGCCAACGTGACGAAACCCTGTCTCTACTAAAAATACAAAAATTGCCGGATGTGGTGGCAGGCACCTGTAATCACAGCTACTTGGGAGGCTGAGGCAAGGAGAATTGCTTGAACCCGGGAGGCAGAGGTTGCAGTGAGCCGAGATTGTGCCACTGCACGCCAGCCTGGGTGACAGAGTAAGGCTCTGTCTCAGAAAAAAAAAAAAAAAGATTTCCAGAAATGGAATCAGTAAATTCATGGGTATGAACATATGTTGAGTCCTTGACGCATAGTTCCAAATTGCTTCTGAAAGGTTGATACCACTTTATACTATCACTGGTAATGCATGAAAATATGAATTAAAATATGCCTTTTCCAGGAATAAATAATATTACTTTAAATAATATTACTAAATCTTAAATTATCATTATGAAATAATAAATAACATTACTTTATAAAACTATTGCTTTAAAAATTTTCTAATTTCTTTGGTATAAAATGCATTATTCTAATCTACAAATTATTCTTTACATTATTCTTTCTAACAGGGTTGAACATTTTCCTGTAAATTTAATAGTTAGATTTGTTGTATGTGAATCTTTTGGTTATTGTTTTGGCAGTTTATTAAAATCTTAGTGTTTTTAATTATTATTATGGGATATGTATTATATTATACATGTATTATATTATATTATTATGTGATATGTATTATATACATACAAATAAGCATATGTAATATCCTTTTATCTTCTACATTTGTTGTTTTCTACTCTATTGCTTGTCTCTTCAATTTGTTTAATTTGTTTATGCACTATTTTAAAAAGTAGAACATACTTGAATTTTTAGTTTATATGTAGTTACATCTGCTGATCTTTTCCTCAATATTTTTTTTTCTGAAACTTCTAGGACGTCGTCTCTCATAGTCTCCTTAAAATTGATAAACATGCAATTCTATTATTTCTTCTTTTTCTACTATTTAAGTTTTTATCTAACTTCTTTAGCATTTTGAGTATAATGAGCTTCAAGGTCGTTTTTTCCCTGTTTCTTGTGTGGGTGCTTATTGAGTTGTTTGGATATATGGATTGGTCATTTTTTTTCAAGTCTGGAAAATGGCCATTTTCTCCTTAAATATATTTTGTCCCCCCGCCTCTTTTGGGCACTCCAGTTACACATAGATTAGTCCATTGAAGTTGTCCCACAATTTATTGTTGCTTAGTTTATTTCAAAAAAATTCTCTTTTCTCTGTGTGTTTGTATGTTTCATTTTGGATAGTTTCTATTGCTATGCTTTCAACTTCACTAATATTTTCCTCTATAATATCTACTTTGCTATTCTTCTCATCTAGTGTATTTTTCATCTCATACATTATAGTTTTCTTCTATGGTAGTTCAATGTAGTTCTCTTTAAAAAAACCTTCCATGTTTCTATTTAACTTTTTGAACATGTGGAATATAGTTATACTAATTGTCTTTGTTGACTAATTCTAACACCTGTGTCAGTTCTGGGTCCGTTTCAATGGGTGCTTCTCCTCATGATGGTAGTATTTTCTTAGGTTTGTGCATGATTTGTAATTTTTTTATTGGATCCCAGACACTGGGGAATTTTACCTTGTTGGGTGTTGGATATTTTTGTATATCCTACAGATAGATATTCTTGAGCATTGTTCTAGAATGTGGCTAGGTCTTGAAAATGGCTTTATCTTTCAGGTTTTGCTTTGAGATGTATTAGGTGGGTCCAGAGCAGTGCTCAGTCTAGAGCCAATTATTCCTCACTTGTGAGGCCAGACCCTTCAGTATACTTTGCACAACACTGTGAATCATGAGATTTTCAATCTCACTGGTAGGAACAGGCTCTATTCCCAGCTCTGTGAATGTAGGTATTGCTTCCTCTAATCCTTTCAGATGGTTCTTTCCTCAGCTTTGGGTAGTGTTCCCACAAGGAAGACCTGACTAGTACTCGGCTGAATATTCTTCAGCTCAGAGGGTTGATTGTGCTTTGCCTGGGTTTCCTCCTTGGGCTGTCTGGAAACTCTCCCAAGGCAGTAAACTGGGGCACTCCTAGGCTCACCTCATTTATTTCATATCTGTGTGGGCTCACTAGTAACTTAGTTGCCTGATGATAGAGTCTTAAAAACTATTGTTTCATATATTGCATCCATTTTTTGGTTACTTCCAATGGGAGAATAAATATGATCTCTGTTATTCCATCCTGTTCAAAACCGTAATTTATTTAGGTACTCTGGATTCCATTCTTGTGTATAGATTGAGATGGATATCTATTGTTGTATTTTTATTCCACCAAAATTACTTAACTTAATTAGTGTTAATTACTTAACATTAATTAGTGAACATTTTCTTCCCTGATGGTTTTTTATTTCTTTATTTTTGAGACAGAGTCTCACTGTCACCCAGGCTGGACTGCAGTGGTACAATCTCAGCTCACTGCAATCTCCACCTCCCGGTTTCAAGCAATTCTCCTGCCTCAGCCTCCCCAGTGGCTGGGATTACAGGCGCCGGTCACCATAACCAGCTAATTTTTGTATTTTTAGTAGAGACATGGTTTTGCCATGTTGGCCAGGCTGGTCTCAAACTCCTGACATCAGGTGATCCGCCCACCTTGGTCTCCTGAAGTGCTGGGGTTACAGGCGTGAGTCACTGCACCCGGCCCTGATGGTTTTTTTATGCTTCTTTTGTGCTATATTAAATACTCACATATATTGGAGTCCATTTCTGAATTAACTATTTGGTCCTGGGGATCTATTTGTCAGTTTTTACCCTGGAACTATACTCCTTTACCTTCCGCTGCTTTGCCACATATTTTTAATATCTGATAATGCTAATATACCCTGTTATATTTTTCCATTAAATGTTTCTCCGAGAATTTTTTAAAGGTATTCTACTATACTTATCCTTTTATATATACTTTGGAATCATTTTGTCAAATTTAAAAAACCACTCTGGGATTTTTCTTGAGACTGAATTAAATATGTAAATTAACTTAGGGTTGGCAAATAAGCATTTTACACGTTAGTTTTCCTATCCAGGAACATAATATAACAATCCATCTGATATAACAATCCATCTTCTCCACTCACTCAAAAATCTTTTGTTTTAATTTTCCATAAGGTTTTATAGTTTTATTCATGAAGATCTTCTTATAAGTTTAATTTACTCTCAGGTACTCTGTGTGTGTGTGTGTGTGTGTGTGTGTGTGTGTGTGTGTGTGTGTGTTGCTATTGGAAATTGGCTCTTTTTCTGGTCAGCTTATTTTCCTACAGTTGTAGATAAATGTTGGCAGCACATTATATATGTATCTGTGTGTGTATATTTGCGCTGCCTAGTTTCCTATATTCCATACTGATTCCAGCTGTTTATAGAATGGAATCCTTGGCTTTTCTAGGTATATAATCATGTAACTAGGAAATACTGATATCTTTGTCTCTTTCTTCCAATAACCCACATAAAACTAGACTGGCTTACTGGGTCTCGAAACCAGCCACAACATAGAATTTCACTATAAAAAATACTAGTGGCTGGGCACGGTGGCTCACACCTGTAATCCTAGCACTTTGGGAGTTTGAGGCAGGCAGATCACTTGAGGTCAGGAGTTTGAGACCAGCCTGGCCAACATGGTGAAACTCCTTCTTTACTAAAAATACAAAAATTATCCTGGGGTGGTGGTGGGCACCTGTAATCCCAGCTTCTTGGGAGGCTGAGGCAGGACAATCTCTTGAACCTGGGAGGTGGAGGTTGCAGTGAGCTGAGATCATACCACTGGTGGACAAGAGTGAAACTCCATCTCAAAAGAAAAAAAGAAATACTAGTCACTCTCAAATAGAACTAAAAATAAATTGAAATTTTCACATAAGTCTTTTAAGAATACCTAAGGAAGAATCCAAACATAAAACAAAAATCTTTTTTTCTCTCTATTTCCTATCCATCTAGTATGTAATATTATCTCACACAGGGAGTTGCCCTTCTCTCCAACTTCCTCCCAAAACTCTTTCTGTCCCAAATTTCCCTTCAAAACCATCTCACATAGAACCAAGTCCTTTGTCCCTCATCTCCTCCCCAAAACTGTCCTGGATAATTCTTTGCTACCATATTTATATGATAAATATGCTGGTTTCACCTGCTGGCTTTCCCAGTTCTCTACTTCACCATTGCCCTCATCAATAAGAAGTGTCCCCAGTGGCAAATAGTCAATAGAAGCTAACTTAGAATGTGGTGAGGATGAGAGAAGAAAGGGATTCAGGCTACCCACATCTAAATTTAATGTATTTATTAAACAATGACTTTGAATGATTCTCATTAGCCAAGAATATCTAAATATTGTTAAGTCCTGTAGTTCTCTAAACAACCTTCGAAGGCATTATTTTTATGGCATTTTTATGACACATGGAAGCTTTCATGAACCAATTTTTAGATAATTGTATATAATTTTCCATTTTAAAAAGTGTGAAAACTGATACTTCCATGAGGCAACTGGGGATACCCTGAATGCCCTCTGGGGTCAGGAAAATGCTTTGGTGCCACCTGCCGGTTTCCAAAGATGTTTCAGGAACTTGCTCCTGTTGATTTCCAAATCTTTTTTTTTTTTTTTAATTCCTAGCTCCCTCCCAGTACATTTCAAAATAACCAAAAAAAAAAAAAAAAAAAAAAATTATAAATTTTTTGGTAGCAAGAGCACAAGTGCTCAAGCTTATAAAAATGCAAATAAATTTGTTTGGGATGCAATATGACGAAACACATACTTCTCAATCATTTAACTAGTCAATTTTTTTTAGCATATTGCCAAAATGTAGATTTCATATGTTGACTTTACATTGCTAATTACACACATCCTATTTCTTTTCTCGTTATTTTTCTTTCTTTCTTTCTTTTTACTTTTTGCGACTCCCTCTGGTACCCAGGCTGGAGTTCAGTGGTGCAATTTCAGCTCACTTCAACCTCTGCCTCCCAGGCTCAATTGATCCTCCCAGGCTCAACTGATCCTCCCATTTTCAGCCTCCCAGGGCGTGCTACCATGCCCGGCTAATTTTTGTGCTCATTGCAGAGGTGGAGTTTCCCCATGTTGCTCAGACTGGTCTTGAATTCCTGGGCTCAAGCGATATGCCAGCCTTGGCCTCTCAACCTGCTGGGTTTACAAGCGTGAGCCACTGAGCCCAGCAACAGATATATTTTCAAGTGGATGGTATCCCATCAGTTGTGATATATGATGTAAACACTCTACTAATAATTAAACTTTGAAGTTTGTGAAAATTTTACTTTTATTATAGTTAGAATAATTCTAAGTTATTCCTATAATAATGCTACACTTATTCACTTGAATTCTGATACACATTTCTTGAACAGGAAGGAGATACAGATACAGCTTATGCACATTTATATTCATTCATTCATTCGATAAATAAATATGTATTGTTAACCACGTTCCAGGTACTTTATTTGGTAGTTAGGATTTAGTAGTAAACACGAGAAAGTCTTCAACATCATCCTTAGATCGTGATCTCTGCATATCACAAATCATACAAAATAAATTTGCTTAAAAATGTGGGAACCTGCCTTTCAAAACCTGCCATTTAGCACTACTGTGGCATAACCTATAAACCTAAACATAGACCCTCATGATTTATGCATTTAAGTTTGTGGGAAATAGGTCTCTTGTCCCTTGTCCTGAAAGTAAAAGACAACCCTGTCTGAATACACTGAATATCCGTGGATTGTACTGTTTCCGGACGCTGCCTAAGAGCATAGGGAGAATTTGTTTTTTTGTTTGTTTTTTGTTTCGTTTTATTTTTGAGACGGAGTTTCGCTCTTGTTGCCCAGGCTGGAGTGCAAACGGCGCGATGTCGGCTCACTGCAACCTCCACCTCCCGGTTCAAGAGATTCTCCTGCCTCAGCCTCCCTAGTAGCTGGGATTACAGGCGTGCGCCACCACGCCCGGCCAATTTTTTTTTAGTAGAGTCAGGATTAGTATTATTAGTAGAGATGGGGTTTCACCATGTTGGCCAGGCTGGTCTCAAACTCCTGACCTCAGGTGAGCCGCCCGCCTCAGCCTCCAAAGTGCTGGGTTACAGGCATGAGCCACCGCACCTGGCCGGGACCCGACCAGGATGCTGAATACAGAAATGCTTAGGTAAGAGAAAAGAAAAGTTAATTTGTCACACTTTTCCTTTCAAACTACATGAACATATTTTTGCATTATAAAGTATTATATCTAAGTAGTTCCAAACATGGAATTTCTTATTTCCTTTTTTTCCCCCCAATTTATGGTTCTGGATATACTCAGGAATTAGTGTAGAATTCTCAACAATCAGATATGGTTGCTGAGGAACATTTAACAATATTAAACAATTCACATGACTCTGAAATTTGAAAATAGGTAGATACAGACATAACATGAACAAAGGGTGATACCAATTCTTTACACTGGCAACTAGGTGGACATTGAATGATACGCTTGTGAGTAATTTACTTTAATGAACAATTTCATTAAGTAATATTTACCAAAAAAACAAATACAACTTTAGATTTATTTAAATTATTTTACTTAAAATTTTGTCACTAATTAAACCCCGTCTCTACTAAAAATACAAAAATTAGCTGGGTGTGGTGGCAGGCACCTGTAATCCCAGCTACTTGAGAAGCTGAGGCAGAGGATTGCTTGAACCTGGGAGGCGGAGGTTGCAGTGAGCTGAGATCACGCCACCACACTCGAGCCTGGGCGACAGAGCAAGACTCCATCTCAAAACAAAAAAAAAATATTGTCACTAATTATACTTTACATCTTATAAGAAAGGTAAATCTTTTGAAAAAAGTGAAAAAGATTTAATGTATTGCTTTTTAATTTAATTTATATTTTTATTGAAACATTCAAACTATATGTTTGGAATATAATTAAATTTTATTTTTAATCCTTTTTGATCATTATTTCTGATAGAACACAATTACATGAAAATCTTGATCAAACAGCATACATGGTAATTTTGCTGAAATGAAGGTAAATTTTCATGGGCTAAATATATAGGAAATGTATTAACTATAGATGTCTTTATCACTCATCCAAAATAATCAGCCAATCAATAGGACACCCGGACAGGAATGATATAATTAAATGCAATCAGATTTTGCTGATTTTCATCTATGTAAAAACATTTTTATTTTGCCATTATAAATGTTTACTCACCAATATTGAGAGTTATAGCATATCCTAGTTAATAATGTGTTAAGTTAATTTATAACTTTTAAATATTTACACCTACAGCAGTGAGTCCATCTGTACTCTTTCTCAGGCTCCATAAGTCTTAGGGATGGGCTTTATGCCAACGTGCTGAAGCCAATATTATAGTGAGGGAATACAAGAAATAAACAGGTAAACAAACAGACAAATCAGGTCATTTCAAGTAGTGATAATGGCTATGAAGAAAATACCAGCTTGGTACATCTGTCCGTCAGATAAAAATATATAATTCAAGATTATTACATTTTTTTTAAAACCAAAGCTTTTTTTTAAAAAAAAATTACATTTATGAACATCTGACTTGTTTTCCTTTTTACTTTCCAAAGTAAAATTCGGCATGGCACTATACACCATCACAGCTGACATAGGAAGGACTGAGTCAAATCTTTGTAGCACTTTTTCAAGTTTCACTTAAATAAAGCTTTTAAAAAATATATAGGGTATTTTTTAAGCAAAAAAAGCAAATTATCTTATCAATGAAACAGACCTGGTGTTCATTTCTTTTAAAGTACCGAAAGCTGATTGCTTCTGTAAAGGTAAAACTCCTGTGACATGTTAGAAAGAAAAAAAAAATTCCTTTGAGAGATATGTTTGTAAGAATGAAATAGGTACTACTAGAATTTTCATGTTATTCTCTGCAAGGCACTCAACACCACATGAAAAGAAGATTATTAACAGTCAGTAGAAATACTAATAACTGAAGAAAATATTTGGTTGTTTTAAATGCTTTTAAAGCAAACCAACAACAAAAGATTCTGTTTGTAAATGGGAGAGAATCTGCATGAGGTATAGACAACCAGGGCCTCCAAATTTGTAGCTGTGTTTCTGACATTCTCCAGGGAAGACGGTTACAGAAAGACTTGACCCCCTGGCCCCGCAGAGCTCTTCAGAGAAATTAATGCATCCAGAAAAGACAGAGCATCAGATCTCACTCCTTCGTCTGGAAGACGTCAGTTCATCCTAGTTCTAGCGCATACCGGTGTTTTGGAAACAGATTAGCTATATTCATACATAAGGATACTCTTCCGCAACACTATCTGTAGTGAGGCCAAGACCAGTGGTTGCGGGAATCTTCGCAAACAGGCAAGAGACAATTTTTAGGGGCGATGGAAACTGTCATTTTGACTGGGGAGGTCATTACACCTATACATGCATTTGCTAAAAGTCATCAAACTCTTCCACTGACGTGGGTGTAACCATTGTTTGTAAATTATACCTCAACAGGATTCGATTAATTTATTTATTGAGACAGTCTCGCTCTGTGGAGTGCAGTGGTGCAATCTTGGCCCACTGCAACCTCCGACTCCCGGGTTCCAGCGATTCTTCTGTCTCAGCTTTCCTAGTAGCTGGGATTACAGGCGCCCGCCACCACGTCCGGCTAATTCTTTTATTTTTAGTAGAGACGGGGTTTCGCTATGTTGGCCAGGCTGGTCCCGAACTCCTGACCTCAGGTGATCAGCTCGCCTGAGCTTCCCAAAGTGCTCGGATTACAGGCCGCGCCTGACTATGATTCGTTTTGAAAGAAAAAAATATATGCCATTTACCCCTCGGGAATGGAAACATAGAGGAGTGACAAGATCTCCCCCAAGCTCTGGGGCGGTGGAGTCCAGCATTTATAGATCGGTTTGCACTAGGAGCAGAAGCTCCTTTCACGACAATCTCGGCCTCTTCCCACTTTGTAGAGTGAGTAACAAGCTCGGAGAGATGAAATAATTTGGTGGCGTTAACCCGGCCGACAGGCGCCAGCGCCAGGATTTGAACCCAAACCACGTGACTTCACAACCCATAGCTTTCAACACTACGCGGTGCTGCTGGCACCTAGTAAAGGCTGGATCACTACTGAATGAATGATTCTGGCTACGGATCCTTAAAGCCCACAGAAGGCCCATCCAGAGACCGAAAGCTTCAGACACAAGCCGCAGAGCAGACCGCTAAACCGGAGCTACAGAGGCGAAGCTCAGACTTGAGCCTGAGTCCGGCGGGCTGAGGGGCGGGCTTTCGTCTCGGGAGGCGGAGCTGTCTCGTCGCATTCCCGGCAAGCTTGAACCTCTTCACTTGCCGTAGCGCCTGCAGCAGGAAGTTGCTCTACAGCATGCCTTAGGTTTCCGGGTGAGGGTTGGGCTCCTTGGTACCATGTGGGAAGCGCTGTGAAGAGTTGTTGCCTTCCAAGATATACCCAAATTCCCAGTTCCAGGTAAGCGGCACAGAGCCGCTTGATGTGGCTGCGGATGGGGGCGGCATATCGAGGGAGGGTAAGAGTTTTCCGGATATCTGCGGAATCAGGGTTGAAGGAAAGCCTTGGCGCGGTCGCCGCTACTGTAATTAGTTGTTAACGCTGCTGCCATCGTCTTTGCATCTCCGGGGTCCACAAATCTCAGGACACCCGCGTTGTGTGTCCATGACGGTGCTGAGTGCAGAAGAGAATTGTTTGTTTACGAGGCGCCTTATAATTTCGTAGAAACTTATCAAAGTGCTTACGTTTTTTTAGCCCGTGTCATTAAAACTCCGCTGGCGTGAAAGATGACGTCCTTAGCCCAGCAGCTGCAACGACTCGCCCTCCCTCAAAGTGATGCCAGCCTCTTATCTAGAGATGAAGTTGCTTCTTTGTTATTTGACCCTAAGGAAGCGGCCACAATCGACAGGGACACCGCCTTCGCCATTGGTGAGCCATCTTTTAACTTAGAAAAGCTCTTGGAAGCGTTTGTTTTCTGGATGTTACTGTTTTTTTTTTTTCCCCTTGTTTTCTCTTCTGTCCCGTCCTCTTCCTTAGCAGTTTCTAGCATGTTGATGTATATTTTTAAGGGAAAGAGAACATAACAGTCAGGTGCTTGGTGCTTGAAATGTTTATGAGTAGAGGTATCTGGATTTCACAGATGAAGAAACAAAATTAGAGAGGTCAACTAATATGTCAAAGAGAAGAACAGCTAAAAGGGGGATGGAGGCAGTGACTGGGGTGACGGAGAAGTCCTCTCAGAGGACTGGCCTAGTTATTGTAGGGGATATCCAAAAAAAAAAAAAAAAAAGTGTTCCCTGCCACGAAGTACTTTCTGTTCTAGTAGATGAGATAGGATTTACTCTAAAAGTTGAAAACTAGAAATCAGTGTTTGGGACTGTATTATAAATTATATGTACTTAAAGAATTCAGAAACTTCTTAGGGGTAAGTAAAACTGTAAAAGAGGGGTGGGATGAATTTGCTTACGAAGAATTGTTAAATAAACTGGCCTTTTTTGAAATTTAGGATGTACTGGCCTGGAAGAGTTGCTTGGAATTGATCCTTCCTTTGAGCAGTTTGAAGCACCGTTGTTCAGTCAGCTAGCAAAAACCTTGGAGCGAAGTGTTCAGACCAAAGCAGTAAACAAACAGTTGGATGAAAACATTTCATTATTCCTTATTCACTTGTCGCCTTACTTCCTGCTTAAGCCAGCACAGAAGTGTCTGGAGTGGTTGATTCACAGGTAGCTAATAGAATTACAGAAATAACTATGGGTTAATCACTTTGGTCTTGTAAAAAATTAAGTAGTTGAGAACTTATCAAATTAAAGCTGAAAAATTAGGTATATTAAGAGATTGATACAATGTCCATTGTGTGAGATAAGCATGCTCTTCTGCCTTTAAATTCTTTTTTGTTGATAGTGAAAAGTAGAACTACTGGTGATTTTGAGTAAATGGTCTAACCTCATTAGTTTTTTTTTGAGATAGAGTCTTGCTGGGCACTCAGGCTGGAGTGCAATATTGAAATCTTGGCTCACTGCAACCTCTGCCTCCCAGGTTCAAGTGATTCTCCCACCTCAGCCTCCCAAGTAGCTGGGATTACAGGCACCTGCCATAATGCCTGGATGAGTTTTGTGTTTTTGTAGAGATGGAGTTTCACCGTGTTAGCCAGGCTGGTCTTTAACCCCTGACCTCAGGTGATCCACCCGCCTCGGCCTCCCAAAATACTGGGATTACAGGTGTGAGCCACCTCGCCCAGCCTAACCTCGTTAGTTCTGAAGAGCCCATGCTACTTTGCCATTACAGCTTGTTCCTGCACACTTGAGGCAGTGAGTACTAAGCTGCTTTCTTGGCAAAATAACAAGATGGTTGGGGAAGCAGGCAATGTTATCCTCTGAAATACCATTGCTTGAGAAAAACAATGATAGCTAATGTGTTTTTGAGCATTTATACACTAGGCCCTGGTAAGCACTTTATCTGCATTATCTCATTTAATTCTCACAGCATTCCTCTGGTGAGATTATTTGTATTATCCTTGTTTTACAGTTGAGAAAACTGAGGCTTAGAGGGATTAAGTTTCTTGAGTCACACAGCTAGTAAGTGGCAGAGCTAGGATACAGCTGAAGTTTATTTCCAAGGTCTGATCTTTTATCTGCTTTGGGAATTGTCTCAGTAAGCTTAGTTTATTTTCTCACATATTGGTGTCACATCACAGCATACACATTTTTGTTTTATTTATTCTCCCAATATGTATGTCTTTTTTTTTTGAGACAGTCTCGCACTGTCGCCCAGGCTGGAGTGCAGTGGCACGATCTCATCTCACTGCAACCTCCACCTCCCAGGTTCAAGCAATTCTCCTGCCTCAGCCTCCCAAGTAGCTGGGATTACAGGCACATACCACTACGCCCAGTTAATTTTTTGTATTTTTTTTTTTTTAGTAAAGATGGGGTTTCATCACGTTGGCCAGGCTGGTCTCAAACTCCTGACCTCGTGATCCACTCGTCTTAGCCTCCCAAAGTGCTGGTGTGAGCCACCACAGCCACTGCACACGGCTGTCTTTTTATTTTTATTTTATTGAGTGTCAGGATTTCACTCACCCAGGCTGGAGTGCAGTGGTGTGATCGTGGCCCACTCGATCTCCAGGGCTCAAATGATCCTCCGATCTCAGCCACCCAAGTAGCTGGGATTACAGGCATGCACCACCATGCCCACCTAGTTTTTTTTTTGTTTGTTTGTTTTTGTTTTTGTTTTTCCATTTTTTGTAGAGACAGTGTCTCACTTTGTTGCCCAGGCTGGTCTGGAACTCCTGGCCTCAAGCGATCCTCCTGCCGAGTCGGCCTCCCAAAGTGCTGGGGTTACAGGCATGAGCCACCACATCCAGTCCAACTTACATGTTTTAAAAGTAGATTTCTATTCCATTAATTGGAGACATGGCTTCAAGGCCAGCCTGGCCAGCATGGTAAAACCTGTCTGTGTGAAAAATACAAAAATTAGCTGGGCGCAGTGGCGAGCACTTGTAATTCTAGCTACTTGGGAGGCTGAGGCAGGAGAATTGCTTGAATCCAGGAGACAGATTTTGCAGTGAGCTGAGATCACGCCACTGCACTCCAGCCTGGGTAACAGGGAGACGCCGTATCAAAAAAAAAAAACAAAAAATGGAGACGTGGGGATAAACTAATTTTTTTTCAAGAAGCAAGTGAGTCATCAAGAAAACATGATTTTAACTTGGGTCTTCTGATTGTCAGAACATTAGGGCAATCAGACAAAGAATATTTAAAAGTCTGTAATATTTCCATCTGTTTTCTAGCACCTAACTTTACCCCCAAATAGATCATTAATGTAAGGAATACTTTTTGCATTTGATTTTTCATTTTATGTCTTCAGATAACTTATTTATTCAGCAAATACTAAGTTCAGTACATAGATAAGTAGGTTGCCGTTGATTACTGTTTTGAAATAAATGCCATAATAAAGGATTAAGCAGAGTTTTGTGGATATAGTTCTGCCTGGAATAGTTGAAGAAAGCTTCATGGAAAAAGTAACCGCTAAAACCGTATGTCAAACTAAGAGGCTGGGTTCAGTGGCTCACGCCTGTAATCCCAGCACTTTGAGAGGCTGAGGCAGGCCAGTCACTTGAGATCAGGAGTTTGAGACGAGCCTGACCAACATGGTGAATCCCTGTCTCTACTAGAAATACAAAAAAAAATTAGCTGGGTGTGGTGCTGTGCACCTGTAATTCCAGCTACTTGGGAGGCTAGGGCATGAGAATCGCTTGAACTTGGGAGGCGAAGGTTGCAGTGAGCTGAGATCACACCACTGCACTCCAGCCTGGGTGACCAAGTAGACTCTGGAAAAAAAAAAAAATCTAATAAAAGGCAATGTATGGTACTGTTTAAAAAAAGTACACGATGTAAAAGGATAGGAGAGTTTTCACAGAAGAGGGATCAGTTGGCAGAATTAGAAAAAACATCTTAGCCAGGCATGGTGGCTCACACCTGTAGTCCTAGCACTTTGGGAGGCTGAGGCAGGTAGATTGCCTGAGCTCAGGAGTTGGAGACCAGCCTGGGCAACATGGTGAAACCCCATCTCTACTAAAGTAAAAAAAAAAAATTAGCTGGGCATGGTGGTATGAGTTTGTAGTCCCAGCTACTTGGGAGGCGGAGGCAGGAGAATCTTTTAAACTTGGAGGTGGAGGTTGCAGTGAGCCGAGATTGTGCCACTGCACTCCAGCCTGGGCAACAGCAAGACTCCCTCTCAAAAAAAAAAAAAAAAAAAAAAAAAAAAATGTTGACAGACCAGCCTGGGCAACACAGGGAGACCTAGTCTCTACACAGAAATAAAAAATTAGCCAGCTGTGATGGTGCTCCCCTGTGGTCCCAGCTACTCAGGAGACCTAGGTGGGAGGATCATTTGAGCCTGGGAGGTTGAGGCTGCAGTGACCCGTGATCGTGCCACTGCACTCCAGCCTGAGTGGCAGAGCAAGACTCTATTCAAAAAATTAAATAAAAATTGTAAAGCTGAGAGAAAGTTAATGGGATGTATATTTTGATGTAGAATATTCAAAGATATTGCATAGGAATTGGCTGGACCATGTTGAGGGATATGTGAATGCAAAATTGGGGACTTTTTAAATGCTCTGTATCTTATAATTTTGTGATTTTTACTGCTACTCGTTCTAGGTTGTTTTAGCTTATTAATAATACAGTTTGGGCATGTGAGGAAATAGGTGCTTATTATTAAGTTTTGTGTTCAGTTGGACTGTTTGCTTTTTTTCCCCAGGTTCCATATACATCTCTATAATCAAGATAGCCTCATTGCTTGTGTTCTGCCATACCACGAGACAAGAATATTTGTGCGAGTCATACAGCTTCTAAAAATTAATAATTCAAAGCACAGATGGTTCTGGTTGTTGCCAGTTAAGGTATAATTGCTGAATGACATATGTCTGTAATCATTACAGATCTTGATTAAGGGATTTAATTAGGAAAAAATAAGTCATTGCTCCTGGGGATAGTCCAGATAACTACCTCCATCATTTTTATTTCCTGACTTCCAATTGAAACTATTATTAATGTTAATAATATTTAGCTTTTATTTAGTATCTGACATCAGGCTAGGCAATGTACATTATATTATCTTGGATTATCACAAAACTTCATTTTTACAGATGAGGACAGGCTACTTGCCAAAGTTCACATAACTATAAAGTGGCAGAGTTGAGATTTGAACCCAAATCTGATTCCAGAGTCTGTGCCTTTGTATCGTACCATGCCGTTTGGCATTTTAAATTTGGAACTGAGAACTTAAAAAAAAGTTGAAGGTGAAGAAAGGCAGAAAATACTTACAAAAATTAAAAGGATAAGGATAACTTCAGGGGTTTCAAGAATTTACTAAAGTTGTGAGGAAGATGCTAGGAGTTAATTTACAGACTAAGAAAAGGATGCTTGTATAACAGGAAGGGTCTGGGTAAGAAAAGACAGCATGCTATTGTAGGAAAACCAACTGACTAACCGTTAGCACTTTGTTTGCAACATATGGTGGAGGAAAGTAGATGTATGTTGTTAGCAGGAACTTGACTGCATGTTGGGCATGGTGATCCAGGGTAGGGGGGGAGGCAAATGGGGATGAAGGTAAGCTAACAGATCACGAGGCTGTGCACATTAGGCTGATGATGGTAGTGGGGTCAGTGTTCAGAATTAGTAAGATAGGAGTAATGAGGACTTTTTAATTAGAAGGAGAATTTAAGAATCTGAACGTAAAGCACTTGAACTAAAGAATGTTGGAGAAGGCCAGCCTTTGATAAAGCTCATTAACTGCTCTTCCCAACATTCACTCTGCCCATAGCATCAAAATTATTCTTCCTCTAATCTACCTTGGATCTTGCTGCTCCCTAGGCACTCTTATTGCAGGTAGCCAAACTCCACTCACCTACTAAAGTTCACTTAAAATTCTCCTTTCATTTATTTAATCAGTATTTATGGAGCATCTATTACATACCATGTACAACGCTAGATGGTGGGAATAGTGGTATAAGTTGTGCAGTTTCCTAGTCTATTTCTGTTCTTAGTGTTATTGTAAAGCAATGACAGAAGCGTATCATAGTGGCTCAGAAACCAAATCGAACCAGTAAAGTTACTAAGAATCTAGAGAATCCAGATTTTGATAAATACCTTTCAAAATGTGACATACGATAAGCAAACATCTTTCACTAAATACCTCTGCCCTCATTGCTGACCTTCTCTTTTGAATTTCTAAGTTTACATGATTTTATGTGTTAATTTCATCACCACCACCAGTTATAAGGAGAGATTATATTTTTTATTTATGAATTGTAGCAGTATGAAGACATTACTAGGGTAAATGCTTTAAAATAAGGATCAGTTGATGAATGTTGCTAGTAGTTTGTTCTTTCCATCAATAACAGCAATCTGGAGTGCCGTTAGCTAAAGGAACTTTGATTACCCACTGCTACAAAGATCTTGGATTCATGGATTTCATTTGCAGTTTGGTGACAAAATCTGTGAAGGTGAGCAGTCTGTTTCATGAGTATATAATTTTATGAAAAGATTGCTTGCTTTGAATGAAGAAAACATACTAAAACATTCCCTAATAACAATGATACTTTGGATAAATTTATTTTGTTAAATGGTCTGGTGTTTTGAAGCAGGAGCAGTTTGAGAGTCCGTATCTTTTTTTTTTTTTTTAAGAATCAGTCTTTTATCACCAAAGGTGTTTTTCTACAAAAATAAATGTCTATTCCTTGCCAGATTCTAGTTACAGTGACTATTCAAAGAGAGTGTCTAGAAATGTCGGGAATATTCAACCTGGGAAAGCTGTTTAAAAAATTTTAAGGCCAGGTGCGGTGGCTCACGCCTGTAATCCCAACACTTTGGGAGGCCAAGGCAGGCGGATCACTTGAAGTCAGGAGTTTGAGACCAGCCTGGCCAACATGGTGAAACACCGTCTCTACTAAAAATACGAAAATAAACTGGGCATGGTGGGGCATGCCTGTAATTCCAGCTGCTCGGGAGGCTGAGGCAGGAAAATCGCTTGAACCTGGGAGGCGGAGGTTGCAGTGACCCAAGATCATGCCACTGTACTGCAACCTGGGCGACAGAGACTCCATCTCAAAAAAAAAAAAAAAAAATTTTTTTTTAAATAAAAATGTTAGGAATATCATTAGGCAGTTAATTGTTGTCACATTGTGTATTCATTGTTGCATATGGTAATTCAGGAGAGCTGTAAATATTTATTTGGCCTTTCACTTTTTTTTTTTTTGGAGACATGGACTTGCTTTGTCGCCCAGGCTAGAGTACAGTGGTGCCATCATAGTTCATTGAAATCTCAGCCTTGAACTCCTGGCCTCAAGCAATCCTTCTACCTCCCTTTCACTGTTAAATGTGTTTTGTTTGTGTTCCTTGTTTCAGGTTTTTGCTGAGTACCCGGGCAGCTCAGCTCAGTTGAGGGTGCTCTTGGCTTTCTATGCTTCTACCATAGTGTCGGCGCTGGTAGCTGCAGAGGACGTATCAGACAATATCATCGCCAAACTATTTCCCTATATCCAAAAGGTTGGCACTGCTGATGTGTTAAGTAGATTATTTTGTACTTAAAGGAATTTTCTTGCTTTCGAAAGTTTTTTTAGATTTAAGTGTTTTTAAATTGACAGTTTATTTCAGATGATAGCTGAGATTTAGCCTTTAGGTTGAAAATATGACACTTTTTTATTAGAAACTCACTGGCCTGGGACCTTAATTAGGACTCTTAAGAATAAATATTGGCTGTCTGGTCCTGCGGCCATCTCCTAGATTGATTTCCATAGCAGTCTTTGTACCTCACTGGAAGGAGGACGGAGCAGACAGTCTCTTTGAGGCGTAAGCAACCTCTCAGTATTCTTTGTGCACTGGCTCCTGCCTCTCAGCGTTTCTCCTTCCCAAGTGCCTTCTTGCCTGCTGCCTTCCCAGGTGCCCTGTGGAGGTACTGCTTTCACTTCCCACCAGTGTCCCAACTTGTGACCTTTCATCAGACTTGTTTCTTCCATTAGTGATCTGATTGAGGTCTCCCTACTATAAGTAGGATTTTATGTATAAAAGAAGAGCTTACTGGCTCCTGTCAGGACATGTGGTAGATGTTTGAGTTGGGAAATTTTCTGAGATCCTTTGTCTCGTTCAACAGACTTGTCTCATCTCTGTATCCACTCTGAAAAAGGGGTCAGCTCCTTTATTGTTTATGTCTGAAGAGTGATTGACTATGCATTAGGTTGTATTAATCTCTATGACATTTCTAATTTGTCAGATTAACATTTAAAGTAGCAGAAAATAATATGGTTTATCATTTTTCCTTATATTTAAAAAATATTTAGGGATTGAAATCATCTTTACCAGATTACAGAGCTGCAACATACATGATAATATGTCAGATTTCTGTGAAAGTGACCATGGAAAATACCTTTGTGAATTCATTGGCATCACAGATCATCAAAACATTGACCAAGATTCCCTCTTTGATCAAGGATGGGTTAAGTTGCTTGATAGTGCTCCTGCAGAGACAGAAGCCAGAGAGCCTTGGGAAAAAGTATGTACAATTGAATTGAGAAATGGTGCTAGTCAGAGGTGAATAAAATTATTTTGAATAATTTTTTTTTGTAAGATAAGTGATTATATATTTTCTTATATTGTTACTCATTGTCTAACTTGTAAAGTCAACACGATATGTACTTTTGCTTCTTCAAAGGCCATTCCCTCACTTATGTAATGTTCCTGATCTTATTACAATACTTCATGGGATTTCTGAAACTTACGATGTCAGTCCTCTTCTGCATTACATGCTTCCCCATCTGGTCGTCTCCATCATTCATCATGTTACAGGTGTGTGGTTTTATATTTTTTGTCCAGAAATTTTCTAAGATTTGATCTTAAAATAGTAACCATATCCTGGTTAACAGCTTCAAAATATTTAAAATTTCTGTTTTCCAGTTGTTCTTGTGTAACTTGTCTATTTCTTAAGTGAGAAACATCTGGGGTGGGGAGCAGGTTGGTTGAAGAAAGATCATTGTTAATTGAGTAATTTCTTAGAATTTTACTTTTTTTAAGATCTGTGTTCTTAAATACTTAAATAGTCTCTACATGAAAAAGACTGGAATACTTTTAAAATTTATTACTGAGTAAACCTTTGCCTTCTCATTTAGGTATTTAATGAACTTTAGTGATTCATTTATAATGAATATCTCATCCAGTTGCCAAAAAAGTTTTTTCCCTAGAGTAATTAAAAATATAAGACCAAGAAAATTTTTATACATAAAAATCCAAATTATGAAACAAAGCAAAAAGCAAAAAGTAATAATTAGAGGGCCAGGTGGCTCAAACCTATAATTCTAGCACTTTGAGAAACTGAGATGGGCAGATCATGGCAAAACCCCGTCTCTACAAAAATATACAAAAATTAACCGGGCATGGTGACATGCAACTGTGGTCCCAGCTGCTCGGGAGACTGAGGTGGGAGGATCACCTGAGTCCAGGGAGTTCGAGGCTACAGGGAACTGTGTTTGTGCCACTGCAGTTCAGCCTGGGCGACAGAGTGAGACCCTATCTCAAAAATAATAATAATAATTAGAAAGTGATTATTTGCATTATGTCTTTTAATAAATACAGAAAGGCTAGGAAGAAACATTTGGTTCTGTTGCTACTTGGAGAATACTAAGAAAGACTTCTCTAAACTTATGTCAGTCTACTGAAAAATGAGGTTTTTGTAACCAAATCTTGGTTTGAACATGCATTTTAGAAAAGTGACTAGCAAAATGAAAATGTATTCTTCCTATTCTGAAGGTAATGAGTAATGTCCCAGTCTTTGAAAGCAAGGGCTAAGATCAGATTCATATGTTTATTATAAATCTGAAATAGATGACAGCTTTTGGTTCAGTAAGGGGGTGGGTACTGAGATAAAAGTTTAACCTCTTTTCAGAGATAGTTGATTGGCACCATCACAACTAATTTGTAATGTGACCTGGGGAAAGACTAATTTTGGACTTTTGTTTTGTTATTGTTATAAGCATGATAGTACTTGTTAAAAATAGAGAATTTTAGATAAAAGAAAAATGAAGGTGATCTATACAAAAGAGCTTTAAAAAATATAAATGACTAAATAAGTGGAATGCACTTGTGCAAATAGATAAAAAGCTGGATATCAGTGTGTGTGTTTTATTCTGAGAACGATTTTCTGCTATAAGTGAATTTAATAATGTTAGCTTGCAAAATAAATTTTTCCCAACACAATTTTAATTTTTACATATTAAGGAGAAGAAACTGAAGGAATGGATGGTCAAATCTACAAGAGACACTTAGAAGCTATACTTACAAAAATATCACTGAAGAACAACTTAGACCATTTGTTGGCTAGGTAAGCTATTATTTTTGACATGCTTTTGATTTACATTTTTGTGACTCAGTATAATTTTCAAGATTGGTTAGAAATTTCCCAGCATTCCTTTTTAATGTATATCTTGTTTTGTCTGTATCATTTCATTAACTATAAGTACTTAATCCAGTAACTGGCAGCATTAAAAGCAAAAGTAATTTTTCTTGCATGTCTTTAGTGCTTATAGATGAAAATGGAAAGTTAGTGGTTAAGACAAATTTGGGTAATAACTAAATGCAGTTTGTGGCCGTTTGAAGTTTTCTCTTAGTAAATGGACCATAATATCTGAAATAACACATCACAATTAAAACGCAGTAAATGTCATTTAGAAACAATATTGAAGGTAAGCATAGAGTAAGGATTATTTCTTTAAAGATAATTCAGTCTTTTTTTTTTTTTTTTTTTTTTTCTCTTAATGGGCAACTCGATACAGTGAAAAGATGTAGGCGTTGTGGTCAGACATAGGTGTAAATTCTGCGCCTACCACTTCCAGGGCTATAGTAAGTTTTGGAGGTTAGTCTGGATGTAGCTTTGCCATTTTGTAGGATCAAGAGAGTGCCTGTGTGTTGGTGTGCATCATTCATGCCCCTTTGCTCAGAGGGTTGGTTTGTGAATTAAAGGAGAGTATACACGTGTAGTAATGTTGAGAACATAGGCTCTAGAATCAGACTGGGGCTTAAAATGTGAAACCCCACTCTGTGGCACAGAAGGGCTTACTGAATGTTGCCTTTTATTGCTGTTCTCATGAGCAAATTGGAAGACTTACACTCTAGTTTCTTTTCCTTTTTTTTTTTTCTTTAAGATGGAGTTTCGCTCTTATTGCCCAGGCTGGAGTGCAATGGCACAATCTCGGCTCACTGCAACCTCCGCCTCCCAGGTTCAAGCGATTCTCCTGCCTCAGCCTCCCTGGTAGCTGGGATTACAGGCATGTGCCACCATGCCCAGCTAATTTTGTATATTTAGTAGAGACAAGGTTTCACCATGTTGGTCAGGCTGATCTCGAACTCCTGTCCTCAGGTGATCCGCCCACCTTGGCCTCCCAAAGTACTGGGATTACAGGCGTGAGCCAGCACCATTTAAAATAGCAATGTAGTCTTACTATGTTGTTCAGACAGGTCTCGAACTCCTGACCTTAAGCAGTTCTCCTGCCCCGGCCTCCGAAAGTGCTGGGATTATAATGCCAGTGGTGTGAACCACTACACCAGGCCTCTAGTTTCTTTATCTGTAAAATAAGTATTAAACTATACCTTGTATAAGTATGACAATTAGAGATAATATTTCTAAAGCACTTAGAATATAGTAGGTACTCAATAAATAGTAACTCTTATGTATGCTGATATTTCTGTTTTTTTTTTTACAGCCTTCTATTTGAAGAGTATATTTCATATAGTTCACAGGAAGAAATGGATTCTAATAAAGTGTCTTTGCTTAATGAACAATTTCTTCCACTCATTAGGCTTTTAGAAAGCAAGTAAGTTACGTGTGTATGTTTATGCTCTTCTAAAGTACTTCCTGTTCTATAAAGATATGATTCACAAGTCACATCTTAATATACTGAATTGTACAGAGACTGTCCTTTTTAAATTTGTTCTTCAAGAAGGGGCGAGTATCGGAATCAAAAATATTTGAAATATAAGAGGAAATAGTGGTTGTGTGGGGGCTATGGAGAGTATAATTTTTTATAGAGAGACTATTTTGTTATTGGAGTAGTCATAGTAACACACTTGACCAATGTCATTTGGTTTTACCTACAACATTTGTTAAAATTTAAGTCACAGTCTCAGTAATTTTTAAGATTTTATGTCTTTCCTTTATATGTGTATGGTGTATGAGATTAATAAATTTATTAAGAATAATGAATTCACTTTTTAATTGCTTCCCAGATACCCCAGAACATTAGATGTTGTATTAGAGGAACACTTAAAGGAAATTGCAGATCTGAAAAAACAAGAGCTTTTCCATCAGTTTGTTTCTCTTTCTACAAGTGGAGGAAAGTATCAGGTATGTTGTTCTCCAAAGGAATTATGACAATTTGGGGTACATTTGTATGGGTATGTGAAGAGCTCCAGAAGGAAATTTGCCACTTTTTTCCCTTGTGTGGAAAATTTTACAGAGATAACCTTCTACAGTTTGCCTAGTTGCCTGAAGTACGGCTCTGAGGCAGGAATAGAATAATTGGAGAAAGGTACAATAATTTGTACATAACTATGAACGTGATACTTATTTCAGGAAAAGTATTGTTTGAGAATTTTGTATGGGATATTCATTAAGAATCATCAGAGGACGGCCTCATGTAGGTTTCTAGCATTCTCTGTCTTTCATCTAGGTCTATGCTTTCCAGTGTACCAGCCACAGATGGCTATTTATATTATTGATTAGCAAGGGGGAGATGGGTTCTATTTCATGATCACATTAAAACTTGAGAAATTTTCTGGTGATTCAAGCCTAAAGCTTTATACTAGAGGTTAGACATTTAAGCAGGAGTTCTTATATTTAGCCTTAAAAACAGATAATTATGAAGAGAAATATGATTGTTTTAGTATTTCTCTTCCATAATTAGACTTTCATTTTTAATGGTGTTGCATTTCCAAATCTTAGGTTGATGGATAAGACTTTCTTTTTAGTCTAATTGCGTAAGTGAACTAAGTTGTCACGAATTTGAGTGTCACTATTTGTTATATCATGTAGATGAGTTGCATTCTGTCTTCTGGAAGGTGCTAAAACAGGGATTTATCTTAGGTGATTTATCAGATACGCATACAAAATACAAAATTACTTTGTAGAATTACTTGACTAAATTAAACCTACACATAGACACAAGTATACATGAAATCATACCATTAACAATACAAATTTTTTCATCAACTCATGTGATGTTCTAGAAACAAAGATTTTGCATTTTTTTGTTTGTTTTCTGTAGTTAGATGGTTGTTACTGAAAATGTTGGGCAATTTGGGGTGGTTTTCTCTGGGTTTTATTCTTGATCATAGACTGTTCAGATTAAGTGAAATCATTTGATAACTATGTTGAACCCTGTAGTTTTTAGCAGATTCTGATACTTCTTTGATGCTCAGCCTGAATCATCCACTTGCTCCTGTGAGAATTCTGGCCATGAATCATTTGAAAAAGATCATGAAAACATCAAAGGTTTGTTTCAGATCGCTTTTTTATATGGTTTTTTTTTCTTATGATGAGCAGTGTAATTCTGAATAAGAAATTGAAGTTACCACCTAAGTGGGTAATGATACAGATGAGTTGAATAAACCTCATGAGAGTACCTTAGACTAATATTTAGGACTGTGTATGCCAGTTGTCCCCATTTTAACAATAACCTAATAACAACTACTTTTATGTTTCCACATTGACAGTTGTTTATCTTTAGTGTTTTTCAAACTGGAATTTGTAGATTAATTCACGTAGGTTCATTAATTATCTGAGAATTTTTTTAGTTTTGAAATTTGATTTTGGGCCGGTCACAGCAGCTCATGCCTATAATCCCAGCACTCTGTGAGAAGGATCACTTGAGCCCAAACGTTTGAGACCAACCTGGGCAACATAGGGAGACCCCCTTCTCTATAAAAAAGTTCAAAAAATAAAAAATTAGCCAAGTTTGGTGGCACACGCTTTGGTCCCAGCTACTTGAGAGGCTGAGGTAGGAGGATCTCTTGGGTGTGAGAGGTTGAGGCTGCAGCGAGCCATGATCACGCCACTGCTCTCCAGCCTGGGTGACAGGGCAAGACTCTTTCAAAAAAAAACCGAGAAATTTGATTTTGATAGTCTTAATTTTAGATGAAGACATATTTTGGGACATTTGAATGATAACTTTTGAACACTGTTCCATGATTTTGGTGCCTGCAGTTTCGTTTGTCTTTAAAATGTTAGTGGTTTCAAATATGTATTGAGGCTGACTTTATTTGTAAATAATTTGGTCTAATTTGCATTTATACCAAAAGGCATTGGTATGAAGACTTGGTAATGATGCACATAGAATAGTAGTTTCCAAACTTTAGTCATTCAAGCAGTCCCTGTACAATTTTTGCTAAATTACAAATTACCACTGATAGTAGTATTATTTTCTCACAATTTTTCTTTATTTCAGATGGACTCATTATTTTTTTACATAGCCTTCAAATTGTGGGTGTGAGGTGCTAATTGTATATGCATTTTACTATAGTTACTATAATTAAAATAGGAATGCTCCATCTGTGTCATATCTAAAATTATGCACCGTGATTTGCATATTTGAGAAATTTCTGGAACAGAGTAAAGCGGTTAACAGAGTTTAGTTTCCTTGTAGCACATGGCAGTGTAAACGTGCCGAACTCTAGAACTTGTGTCATAGCAATTAGAAGCAGATTCTTACTACAAGTAAAATCATATGATCAGTAAAATTTAATTTCAGCTAATTACAACTAATCACACTAAGTTCATCTTCATTTGAATTTTATTGGTTTTATAGAGTTTTTAGTATTTCCCTTGTAGATTTAAAAAAAAATTTTTGTTTTATGTCATCTATATTTTAAGAAGGAGTTATACTTAATTTTAAGTTGATATATAAACAACAAACAACATTTAGATCTTTGAGAATGTTTCTTTGAAAGTGACTGATGTAATATTCAGGTTTGAGAAATGTTGCTTTATTTGATCTGACATGAATTCTGCTTTTGTAAACTGCCAATAGGTTTATTTTGTCGATATGTTAAATAAATTCATTGAATAATAGTCTTTGTTGTGATAGGAGGATTTCAGTGATAAGAAATTCTTCTAGAATAAAGGGGAGTCCTGGAATCTTCTGTTTCTGAAGTTATTCTCATCCTTCCTTCTTTTACTGCCTTTCTCTCCTGTTCTCTGGGTTTGGTTCGTTTTTCGGTGAAGGGCCGGCCCTGCATACATTCAACTTACAGGCTTGAGGATTGTAATTGCAGTTGATGTCCTCCTTTGCATACCATGTTTCATTTTCTTTTCTCCATTGATGACAGGACATAGGTTTTATTCTAAACTCCAGGTTCAGATATATGGCTGCTTATTAGCTCTTGAGGATTTGTTTAAATGATGGGGTCTTGCTATGTTATCCAGGCTGGCCTCAAACTCCTGGGCTTAAGCAGTCCTCCCACCTCAGCCTCCAGAGTAGCTGGGATTATAGACATGCACCACTGTGCCTGACTAACTTAATTTTTGTGAATTCTGTGAATTTTCATTTTTCTCCCAACAGAGTGACCTATGTTTTTTATATTATTTAGTTGCCTGCCACATATAGATAGGGATATATTCAGGTTGATTAGCAGTCCTAGTTTTCTTTCTCTGTGAATGAATATACATTGTTTTCTTTTATTTGTTATATTTAAAAAATGATCTCTATTTTTGGCAGACTGGCTTTGTAGTACATGTCCTTATCCTTGTAAAAATTTAGATAATACTAGCTAGCTTTTAACAGTACTATGTGTAAAGCACTGTGCTACAGACTGACATGTATTTTTTAATCTTCTAACAACCCTTGCAGGTAGGTATTATTTATTAGCAAACCTGTTTTATAGGTGAGAATAGTGAGATCCAGAAAGGTTAAGTGACTTGACTAAAGTTACACAACTAGTAAGTGGTAGAGCTAGGATTTAAATTAGACATTCTTATTCTTTAGTCTATATCCCGTCAATATCTGGGCTCTCACTTTAATAAGATGAACTCCTTAACTACAAAAACTATATTTGGAGTATACCATATTTACTATATTTTCACTGAAAACTTGAAAAGGATTTGTACCAAACAATTATTAATCTCAAAAGGCCCTTTAGCGATTATCTAGTTCTAGTGTGTTTCAGTCCTCATCCAGAGCAGAGCCTGTGTTAGACTGTCATTCTGGAGTGTTTTTCACAAAACCATACTTCCTTTCTAGTGCAAAGCCTTAAGAGATTTTTGGCAACAGCTAAATTAATGTTTTTCTTTTATTGCTCAGGAGGGTGTTGATGAATCTTTCATAAAAGAAGCTGTTTTAGCCCGATTAGGTGATGATAATATAGATGTTGTTTTGTCGGCTATAAGTGCTTTTGAGGTGAGTGAATTTGTCATTTGTTGAGGTATACAATTTTGTAAATTTCCTTGCCCTTCTCACTTGATTCTCTGCTTGAGACTAGAATATTTTTGGAAATTATTTTTCCATGGGAAATTTGTTCTCTGGAGAGCACAGACTTAAGTCTGGTTAGGAGAAACTCACAGAAATTCACAATTTGATATATTAAATATATATGGAAGTTGTTCAAACAGGAAAAATGTTTTGTGAATTTTTATATTGCTTTTAACATATTTTTATCAATAGCAAATACCTTGGGACCTGTGGAAATTGTCTTATGAATGCCACTTTTGAGAAATAGATCTTAAAACTTTTAATTTGTACTAGGATTCCTGGGAGAAATTCCTTATAATTCATTCTTTTTAAAATTCGCATTTAAAAAGCGCCATACATGTTTGAAGCAAGTACAAATCTACTCTGGATATTTTTTTCCCTTTAGATTTTCAAAGAACACTTCAGTTCAGAAGTGACGATTTCAAATCTTCTGAATCTCTTTCAAAGAGCAGAACTTTCAAAGAATGGAGAATGGTATGTATTCATTTCTCCTCATACTATTTTGAATTGATGAAGTTCTTATATCAAGTTCTTTCTATTTCTTCTTCTTTTTTTTTTTAAGGCTTTGATTACATGACCCTTTTGTCGTGGTAGTAGAACAGATCTTACTGTAATACTCTCTTTCATTATACAGTTAATTAATTTGTGTTTGTGTGTGTTCATTATACTGTTCTCTATGTTTGGAATTTCTCTTAATAAAATGCAAAAGGAAGTATATAATGTATGATATTGCATTCTGGGAAGTAAGATGGGTAGGACTTTCTAATTTGCTGCTTTATGTAATTTTTACTTTATAATTAAAAACAAATACCAATGTGTTAAACAAATTAAAAAATAAGTTCAGAGACACATGATACCATCTGTGGTAAGTTTTTAATGAGCTCTGTTTATTTCATTTTTGGCACCAAAGCTTTTTGCAAGAAAAAGTAAGCAAGCTCCATAGAGGATGAGAGTGTGTCTTACGTGTTTTTGTATCTATCGTATGGGTAGATATCTATCATGTAGGATGTGCTTGGTTCATTTTTTTTGAGTGCCTGAGTGAACCTGATTTCCGGTAGAGTTGAGACATCTAGTGTGATATGTCTTATGTTATAGTTAACCTCTAGTGATTTCTCTAAGAAAAATTATTATTTTTTTTTTAAGATTAGACAGGATGAGCAGATTAAAAGTATTGTTGGCCAGGCACAGTGGCTCATGCCTGTAATCCCAGCACTTGTACAAAAAATAAATAAATAAAAATATTGTCACAGATAACTCTGTTATTGGCATGGATTTTAAGTGGTGTCTTAGTGTATCTGAATAATAGTTTTGGTCAGGAGACCAGGATATTGTCAGTTAAGCTGGAGTAATGTAATGATGAATTTTTGCCCAATTGAAGCCTTCCAATGTGTCTTTCAACCAAGTGTGCTTGCATGTCTTTTAGGTACGAGGTACTTAAGATAGCCGCTGACATATTAATTAAAGAAGAGATACTGAGTGAAAATGATCAGTTGTCAAATCAGGTGGTTGTATGTTTGCTGCCATTTATGGTTATCAATAATGATGATACGGAATCTGCTGAGATGAAAATTGCTATATATTTATCAAAATCAGGAATCTGCTCCCTGCACCCTCTATTAAGAGGCTGGGAAGAAGGTAAAAAATTCAGTTGTTTTTTTAGAAAAAGTGAACAGATAACACAAAAGAAAACAAGGAAAATTTAAAATTTATTGTTGGTCATGCTTATATGCCAGTAAGGTCTTTTAAAATTTTTGCCAAGATAAAAAGTATACAGTGAAAAGGAAGCCAATTCATAGACAAATTCAGAATCGGATACAAGGAAAAATAGAAAGCAAACCTTCATAAACAATAGTAAAATGTTTGCCTGAATTCTTCATGTGATTCTTTGAGTGTTGGTGACATAAGAGCTCTCTGCATTCGATTTTACTTTACAGCTCTTGAAAATGTAATTAAAAGCACAAAGCCAGGAAAACTAATCGGTGTAGCAAATCAGAAGATGATTGAGTTGTTGGCTGATAATATAAATTTAGGAGATCCTTCTTCAATGTTAAAGATGGTAAGTATGCTTTGAAAGTCCACCCCCTGGATTTCTTTCTCATACTCTTATTAAATTCTCAGCTTTTGCTTTACTAGATTTTTCTTAAAAAAAATTTCTTTTATTCTTGAGTACTTGGTTTTACTTTAAACGTTGCAGTGTTGTTTAATATATTCTGTGCAATGTTTGAAATCTTTTAACATTTTATATATTTTTTCAATGTGGATCCATATCACACCCATAAGAATAATATATCCTTTTTACCACCATTTTTTCTCATTCCCATTTAAAATATTAGTCTTTTTGTTGTTGTTGTTGTTAAAATAGCAAAATATAATCCCAAAGAGGAGAAAATTATCTTTGCCTTATTAAATAAACCTTTGTAAAGGATTAGATGTGTGATTTAAATACATTAACCAGTTGGCAAGTGCAATTATGTTCATTACAGTTTCTGAAATTATTCTTATAATTACTTAGAAATCAGTGCTTAGTACTTTATAAAGGCTTTCTGTTTGTCATCTCACTTTAAATGTAAAACACATAATACCTAGATAGACCTGAGTTGAAAAAATTGTTTTATGAAAATCAAGAGCAACTGGTAATAGAGTGTGTTTATTTTTCAAGGTGGAGGATTTAATAAGCGTGGGTGAGGAGGAGTCCTTTAACCTGAAGCAGAAAGTAACGTTTCATGTGATCCTGTCTGTGCTCGTCTCTTGTTGTTCATCTTTAAAAGAAACCCACTTTCCATTTGCGATAAGAGTCTTCAGTTTGTTGCAGAAAAAAATAAAGAAGCTTGAAAGTGTCATTACTGCAGTGGTAAGGAAAGCAGAATCTCCAGAAAGTGGGATGTTGAATAAAACAACAGCCTGGCCTATTAGTCACAGCAAAACTGAAAATCAGAGGCGAGATGTTGAGTCTGTGGATAGTAGCTGGATGAAATGTGAAGCAGTCTTGGGTAGCAGTGAGATAGTCAACTAGGCACTCCCTTGCTTTTGCGGAAAGTTTAGTTGAATTATAAAATTTTAGGGTTGCAATATTTTGTATCTGATGCCTGACTCTCCTCTCTTTTATTGTCTTTATTGGATAATTACCCAAGCTACACCTAACTACCTCTAGCGATGAAGAATTCACTTGGTGTGTTAGTGCTTGAACAAAATACTATTTCATTCAATTGTTTACTAAAAATAGATCTTTTAGGCTTTAAATAATTTTAATATTACATAGATGTGTATCCCTCCAGCCTACTACTGTCTTTCATAGTATTACTAAAGGACATGTTTCAGCTGTTTACATTTGACATGTTTTGAGGTAGCAAGACTTTTTTTTTAATATCTGCTATATGTAAGGATTTTGTTTTTATTTGTCCTCCAAATTTTAGAGGGCTTCTCATTATAGGATTTACTAAATGAATTATATCTTTTTCACATTTACGTATACCCGCAGGATTTTATAAGTTCTGATCATGGCCATTGTTAGCTAAAATGTGTAAACTTTAAAAAGAGTAAAATCTTCATATTTTGAAAAATAGTCCAGATAGGCCCTTCTTAACTTTTAGTTTCTTGGTGTCTTTTGTGAAGTATGATGACCTGAACTATACTGGTTCTCAGTGTTAAAAGTATGGACAAATAGAGTGTTTTATTATACATATGTAGATAACAGGTTATTTTATATTGCTTTACTTTTAATACCTTTCTCGAGGTCATGAGCATGTTTTCGCCTGTAGCAGCACGTTGAGTTAATCAAATCCCTCACTGGAGACGTTACATTGTAAATCTGGCTTTGGATTATTTTCCTTCTAAGTTATTACTCTGTACTGCTTGTACAGAGTCATATTTGTCATTTTCTTACACCTGTTCTGCATTCTTTTGGCACTTACAGTATAATTTCTAAACACCTAACATTTTGCTGCTTGTTTAAAATCATCTGCAGGTTTGGAGATTTTTGCCATGTACCTTATTCAGATTAGTGGTAAAACAGTGAAATCAAAGAATTCCCTTTAACTATGTCTTGGCAATCCAACTGTTTATCTTCCTGTTTTGAAATATACCTATTTTGGCCAGGCACGGTAGCTCACGCCTATAATCCCAGCATTTTGGGAGGCCGAGGCGGGTGGATCATCTGAGGACAGGAGTTCGAGACCAACCTGGCCAAAATGGTGAAACCTAATCTCTACTAAAGATACAAAAATTAGCCAGGCATGATGGCGGGCACCTGTAATCCTTCCTACTCGGGAGGCTGAAGCAGTAGAATTGCTTGAACCTGGGAAGCGGAGGTTGCAGTGAGCTGAGATTGTGCCGCTGCACTCCAGCCTGGGTGACAGAGCAAGACTCCGTCTCAAAAAAAAAAAAAAAAAAAAGAAATATGCCTATTTATTCCTACCCTTTATTGGATAAACAGTTCATATGAATAAAGTTTGTTTTTAGAGATAATGTTTCAAGGTAAGACATAGATAAAATTTAACTTTGTCTTTCCTTGTGAATAGTGATAAACCTCTTTAAAAATCCGACCAAAGCAGTTCTGTTAATCCTTTCCCCACCAAAATGCACACATAAACAAAACTTTTGCATATTATGCAGAGGAATTCATATAACCCATGTTCAGAACCCTTAGTTTGTACTAGTTTTTGTTTCCTTTAACATTTCAGGAAATCCCCTCAGAATGGCACATTGAACTGATGTTAGACAGAGGGATCCCAGTGGAGCTGTGGGCACATTATGTAGAAGAGCTCAACAGCACTCAGAGGGTGGCCGTGGAGGACTCGGTTTTTCTTGTATTTTCCTTGAAAAAATTTATTTATGCACTGAAAGCTCCTAAATCTTTTCCTAAAGGTAAGATACAAGCTGTGAATCTTTTAAATGTGATACTCTGCAAAACTGAATGATTGACTCCACAATGACTGTCTTGAATAAAAAGCTCCCAGCATGTTCATGTAGGATCTAGCATCATTTCTCTTTCCATGTCCTTGTAGGTGATATATGGTGGAATCCTGAACAACTGAAAGAAGACAGCAGGGACTATCTGCACTTGCTCATTGGGCTGTTTGAGATGATGCTCAATGGTGCCGATGCTGTTCATTTCAGAGTTCTGATGAAACTTTTCATAAAGGTACAAGCCTCCTCCTTTTCAGGCGTACTCTACCCTTAAAGAAGATATGGCTGGCCTGCAATCCCAGCACTTTGGGAGGCCGAGGCAGGCGGATCACTTGAGGTCAGGAGTTCAATACCAGCCTGGCCAACATAGTGAAACTCCATTTCTACTAAAAATACAAAAATTAGCCAGGCATGGTGATGGGGCCTGTAATCCCAGCCACTTGGGAGGCAGAGGCAGGAGAATTCGCTTGAACCCGGGAGGCAGAGGTTGCAGTGAGCCGAGATCACACCACCGTACTCCAGCCTGGGTGACAAGAGTGAGACTCTGTCTCAAAAAAAAAAGATGGGCTGGGCGCAGTAGCTCACGCCTATAATCCGAGCACTTTGGGAGGCCAAGGTGGGTGGATCACGAGGTCAGGAGATCGAGACCATCCTGGCTAACATGGTGAAACGCCGTCTCTACGAAAAATACAAAAAAAATTAGCCGGGTGTGGTGGCGGGCTCCTGAAGTCCCAGCTACTCGGGAGGCTGAGGCAGGAGAATGGCATGAACCTGGGAGGTGGAGCTTGCAGTGAGCGGAGATCGCTCCACTGCACTCCAGCCTGGGCGACAGAGCGAGACTCCATCTCAAAAAAAATAATAAATAAATAAAAAGATACTGTGGGTTATTTGGGTTATGACAGTTTATAATGTAAACAAAAGTAGACTTGTAAACAGTGAAGAGTATATAATAGCACGGGCCCTGTAAAAGAGTACAATCACAATACTAATCGGTAGGTTGAATAGAAACTAACATTGCTACACTCCTACTAATATGTTAGGCCCATTACTATATTTAAAAATAACAACAGCCCAGTCTTTTTGATTGGTTAATACCATTTAAAAATGTGAATACTGGTGTTCAGAGAGGTTATTTAGCACACGTGAAGTTACTCAGGAAATTTCATCCCCAGCACCAGTGACCTCCATGTTGCCAGGCCCAGTGGTCAGTTCCTGTTCTTGCCTGACTTGTTCTCTCTACAGCATTTGACATGGAGTTGGCATTGCTCAGCACATTGTTGAAGTATTTTCTTAATTAGGCGTCCCAGATACTGCTCTTGTCTTGGTTCTGTGTTTTCAAGTGCAAGGTTATAGTGAGGCTTCTGAATATCACTCTTCATTGACATCTTCCCAGTTCATTAAAACATGGAATATGGAATAATTTGAAATGATTAGACAAAGCAAAACTTTGCCTTAAATTATTTGTTTCTTTATAATTGTACACTAGTGAGAAGAGGATTTGGAACCAGCTTATTTGAGTAAGAATTAAAAGTTTGCTTTTTTTTTTTTTTAATTAGGTGCATCTAGAAGATGTTTTTCAGTTATTCAAGTTCTGTTCTGTTTTATGGACCTATGGTTCTAGCCTTTCAAATCCACTAAACTGCAGTGTGAAAACAGTGCTGCAGACTCAAGCTCTTTATGTGGGCTGTGCAATGCTTTCTTCTCAGAAGACACAGTGTAAACACCAACTGGCATCCATATCTTCTCCAGGTATTAAAAGTAGCATTGTTATGTTTTGTCATGACCAACTGTTCATGCTTTCTCTATATGGTTTATGTAGTTTGGAAAATTATAACTTAAAAAAAAATAGCAGAGGGCAGGCGCGGTATCTCACGCCTGTAATCCCAGCACTTTGGGAGGCCGAAGCAGGCAGATCATGAGGTCAGGAGATCAAGACCATCCTGGGCAACATGGTGAAACCCCGTCTCTACTAAAAATACAAAAATTAGCTGGGCGTGGTGGCATGTGCCTGTAATCCCAGCTACTTGGGAGGCTGAGGCTGGAGAATTGCTTGAACCAGGGAGTTGGAGGTTGCAGTGAGCCGAGATTGTGCCACTGCACTCCAGCCTGGTGACACAGCGAGACTCCATCTCAAAAAAAAAAAAAATCGATAAAGGCCAGGCGAGGTGGCTTACACCTATAGTCTCAGCACTTTGGGAGGCTAAGGCAGGAGGATCACTTGAGGCCAAGAGTTCAAGACCAGCTTGGACAACGTGATGAGATCCTGCCTCTACAAAAAATACAAAAATTAGCTGGGCGTGATGGTGCGTGCCTGTAGTCCCAGCTACTCAGTTGCCTGAGGTAGGCAGATGGCTTGTGCCTGGGAGGTCAAGGCTGCAGTGAGCTGTGATTGCACCACTGCACTCCAAACTGGGCAACAGAGCAAGACCCTGTCTCAAAAAAAAAAAAAAAGGGCTGTACATCTATACATATTTCTGGTCACTTCTAAGTATTGCTTTTAAGTTACTGGCACTAGCAAAATCTCACCAAACACAAAAGTTTAATAATAGAAATGGCAGGTGATTATATGAGTTCTTAATAATCAGCTATTCATTTTCTGAGCTGTAGCAGCAATGGGTTAGATATGGAAGTCAGATCATCATAATACAATTTAATAATGAGCTAACAAAAACAAAACCCTCCTGCATTTATCTCTTTTATCGGGCATAAATCATATTCAGGTTCGGCATTCTCTAATGAAATAACTGAAAGTTAAGTTTTTTTATAATGTAGAATTGCAAATTTTGCAAAAGATGCAGAATTTCATGAAACAATGAATGCGATATTGAAAAGTGGGTTGACTTACAGAGCTATTGACATGAGGGGATGTGGCAGAATTAGATCAGAGAAGAATGGTTGAAGATGAAAAAATTGATTAGAATAATGGACATGATTAATGCTTCAAACTGTAATGTTATTAATATCAGAGGCATAGGAGTGGCCCTGGGGAAATTTGAAGATGTCCTTGGTTTTTTTTTGTTTTGTTTCTTGTTGTTTTTTTTTTAATTCCAAAATTACTCTTTGTAAATGTTCTGTGAAAGCAAGTTAGATGATCGTATACTTTTCCCTGAACAATTCCTCAGTGTTTATTTTTTGTTAGTTCTTTGAAAGAGCACATAATTACATTTGTAACCAAATTTTGTTACATTTAAAGTAGATATGTAATTTCAAGTTTTATTTCTAAAATAAAATTCCACAAAAGTAATTTTTTATTCGCTTACAAAATTTCGGTCTTTATTTTAGGTGAGTTTACTGTTAAGGTTTTTCTAGTTATATTTGGATAAGAACAACTCTATACATTTTTTAACTTTAATTTTTCAATTAATATGGACATCTTTCCATATTAATAAATGGAAAAATTTATCTTTTTACAACTGCCTGCAGAGTATTCCATTGTATGGAGATAGCAATTTATTAAAATAGTTATTTTCTGCTAAACTTGTGGGTTTTCAAAAAGGTACATATATTTTATTTAGAGATAACTATTTCTGTTTTCCAATTTGGTATTAAATGTTTACTGTCCTTTGACAGTGGCCTCTGAGTCATATATGTCATTTTGACTGTAAATAGCAAGATGGAAGAACTTCAGTTTTCCATTGGTATTGCCCTTTGTGGGCATGCTTGTGTGGAAGAATTTGGGCTTTGTGAAAAAGATACATTGCAGCTGCAGGGGGCTGGGAGGGTCTTTTTTTCTGTGGGGACACTGAATAAACAGTTGTATGCCTGCATTTTCACTGCAGCCCGTCACATGAGGTCAGGTGTGGAATTTTCCACTTGTGTCATATTGGTGCTCCGAAAATTTGAGATTTTGGAATTTTTGGATCAAGGTTGCTCAACCTGTATGAACTTCTTAGGCAGGTTTGAAACCTTGTCAAGCTTTATCTTAGTATTTCAGAAATGGAAAGTATAATGGAAAATTTCTAGCAAAATATAAATGACCGTAGTTTGCTGCAGTAGATATGAAATAAAGCTTAAATAACTAATTACTGTAAAAGGAATTTAGATATCTCTTTGTTCCAAAGACATCTTTTTAAAAACCCTAGCGCAGTTGGTCTCACAGATGCATTCCTACTAGATCTTTGAAGCAGATTTTTTCAATGTTGTTGAACTGGGCAGGGCATAGAGAAGGGAAGCTTCCAGATTCTTTATTTAAAACTGGCATAACATTGAAAATTGAGAAAGCCTACAGACAAAAACTATAGGTCATGTTGCTTTGAATAATATTATGTAAAAATCCTAAAGAAAATATTCGCAAATAGGCTCTAGCAGCATATTTATAAAAATCATTTACCTAGCTAGAGTTCATGCCCAGAATATAAAATTGGTTCAGTAAAGGGAACTATGTTAATATAATTGACTGTATCAGTGAAGGACAAAACCCATAAAGTGTCCAAAGATTTGAAAAGGCATTAGCCAAAAATCAGTAATCCTGATTGACAGCAGAATAGGAGTAACATGATCAAAAATTCCTCAAATCAAAAGCTAGCGTTTTCACTTCATAATTGGGAAAACAAAGGCATTCCTGCTGAAATCATCACTCTCATTGAACATGATTCTAGAAGTACTAGCCGGCAGAAATAGACAAGTTTCAAATACTTATGGAATGTATGAATATAATAAAGGCAAAATCAAAGATCTGTGAGATGGTTATGTGGATTGTTAAATGGGACATCTGGCTATCCATTTGGAAACATTAGGAAGTTTGACTCCAACCTCATTCCTTAGATAGAAATTTCATGTGAACTAAAGATTTAACATAAACTTAGCTCTGGCATTAGAAGAAAGCATGAGGTACATATGATCTCTCCCTCTAAATATAGAGAGAGGTACTTTCTAAATTCACTTAGAGTGAGGAGGGCCTTTCTAAGCACCAGAAAAAAAGTAGAAGAAAAACTTGACTCTAACATTTCTCTATCAAAAAGTAAAATCAAAACACACCAGTCTGGGACCAAATATTTGTAGAGTACGATGCACAGGTGGGTAATTTCCCGTGCACGCTTGTACAAGGCTGTATGTGCAGCGGTGTTTGTTGCAGCATTGTTTTGATGACAAAAGAATAGAAACAACCTAAACTTTACCAGTAAGGTACCGGTTTTTAAAATATGGAAAATACATTGGAGTATACAATTAAAAAATAATGATTTGGCCGGGTTTGATGGCTCACACCTATAATCCCAGCACTTTGGGAGGCCGAGGTGGGCGGATCACCTGAGGTTGGGAGTTCGAGACCAGCCTGACCAACATGAAGAAACCCCGTCTCTACTAAAAATACAAAATTAGCCGGATGTGGTGGCGCGTGCCTGTAATCCCAGCTACTTGGGAGGCTGAGGCAGGAGAATCGCTTGAATCCAGGAGGCAGAGGTTGCAGTGAGCCGAGATCGTGCCATTGCACTCCAGCCTGGGCAACAAGAGGAAAACTCCATCTGAAAAAAAAAAAAAAAAGAATGATGTAATTTGGATATGTATGTACTTATGGAAAACATTCGCAAGAGTTTAGATGTGTCTGTAATCCCAGCACTTTGGGAGGCCAAGGTGGGTGGCTCACTTGAGGTCAGGAGTTCGAAACCAGCCTGGCCAACATGGTGAAACCCAGTCTCTACTAACAATACCAAAATTAGCCAGGCGTGTGGCGTGCACCTGTAATCCCAGCTGCTCAAGAGGCTGAGGCAGGAGAATTGCTTGAACCCAGGAGGCGGAGGTTGCAGTGAGCCGAGATTGCACCATTGCGCAATGTCCAGCTCATATGTGATAGCAGTTGGTGTAGAACAGAGTTTATAGTATGCTCTTGTGTATTTTCAAAAGAATGCACCAGGTAACATATGCCTAACCTTTCTCTGGAATATTAAATATTCAAACAGTGAACAGAGAAGGAGTTTGAATTCGAAGGGAAACTTTTTATCAAGTACCTTTGGTACTATGTAAATTTTGTACTGTTTCAGTTTTTAAAATTGTTTCTTAAATTTTTTTTTCCTTTGATTTTAGTGGTGACATCTTTACTCATTAACCTGGGAAGCCCCGTAAAAGAAGTTCGTAGGGCTGCCATTCAGTGTCTCCAGGCCCTCAGTGGAGTGGCATCCCCGTTTTATCTGATAATAGATCATTTGATTTCTAAAGCAGAGGAGATCACTTCAGATGCTGCCTATGTTATTCAGGTAAGCTCGTTAGCAAAGAAGATTGAGTGTGTTCATGCCTCTGTGTACTGGAGCAATTTTCTCCATTCTCGACATTTCACTGTGTAGGGATTTTGATGGACTAAGTCATTGGATTTAGGAACTGATAGGTCAATATCTGTACATCTGTGTCCCCCTACTTTTGAAAAGATAGCAATGTCATATTTCAATTTAGTTCTTTTCATTGGATAAAGGTTTAGTGTGTAGCTTTTCATAGTAAGCCAGCTGTGTGTTTTTAATAACGTTTCTTATTAAGGTTTTAAGGAGAAATGGAAAATTATAAACAATGTCACATCATTTGGGTAAGAGTCTTCCGTAATTAATATATTTAGCCTTTGTAGTTTCTTAACCCTTTTTTATCCAATTTTCTTTTTGGTATCTTAGGATTTGGCTACTTTATTTGAGGAACTACAGAGAGAAAAGAAACTGAAATCTCATCAGAAGTTGTCTGAAACTTTGAAAAACTTACTTAGTTGTGTGTATAGTTGCCCATCTTATATAGCAAAAGATTTGATGAAAGTACTTCAGGGAGTCAACGGTGAGGTATGTGCCATTTAAGTGGATTGTACATTCCTGTGATGTTACTAAAGAATTGTTGTAACTGCTTGTGGGTGAAGAAGACAATTGTAAGAGTTGCATGTGTGCGCTCAGAAGAGATAAATGTAATATTAATTTGAGAGGGGGATGAGTTGAGGTAGAGAAAAACAGATACAAGATACAAAGACAAGTACTGGTGAGTTTCTTTTTATTTTAAAATTAAATGTGTTGTCCCTGTCTAATCATTAAGTTTATTTTAAATGAACTTAACAGTCTCGTGTCTCATGGGGCTGCACTGCTGAAAGAAGCTGTTGGTTCATCTCTGTTTTTCAAGTGAAAATTCTATACAAAGGAATATATTTGGACACGAGTCTATGAAAATTCCAAAATCATTTGCTCGTTTATTATATATATTTAGAGCTTTCATTGTGTTTTCGAAGAAGCTTGTGTTACAAAAGAAAGCAGTTGTGAAACACTTGTTGATGTGATGGCATGTGCTGACCAACATAAAAAAGGTTCTTTCATCCCAGTGTTACAGAAATGCCTGTGTGCTTCATCAGTCCTAGACTGACTGTGGGCTTAGAGAACTAAAATGAGCCAAATGGATTGAAGACCATTTGATTACACTTTCTTGGTAGGAACAAACAGGTTGCATTCAGCCCTTAGTTGTCCCTGGTATAGTTTAAATTAATAATTGACAAATTTCTTGGGTAAAGGACCAGATAGGAAATATTTTATGCTTTTGGGGCCACACAGTCTCTGTTGCAGCTACTCATCTCTGCAGTTGTATCAGGAAAGCAGCCACAGACAGGGTGTAAACAAATGAGCATGGCTGTGTTTCAGTAAATAAAATTTACAAAAACAGGTGGTCTGTTGAATTTGACCTGCAAGCCATAATTTGCTGGCCCCTAGTTTAGCAGTTAAAGATTTACATACATAATTTGAATTAATATTAATTATACCAAGTTGGAAACATTGAAGGACACATACAGTGTTTTAGGGAATCTTAAACTTTATTTTTATTCTCTAAAGTTTTAGTTTGTGTTTTCTGTTCTCAAGTCTTGAGGAATGCTCACAGATTATCTTTCTGCTCATCTCTGAAGGGTTTAGCACTTTTGAGCATTACACATGAACTGTCAGAAAGGACCTGAGTGCCTTAGTGTGAATTAATAGCTGTCTCCATGTCTAAGAAGTTACCATCATTGGGTTTTTTCCTCCAGGCTAAACTCCCATCTTCCAGCAGGCTTTGAGTGTCTCTGTAGAGTGAGCAAAAACATATCAGTATACATAACTATTTACTACTAAGTCTTTGGATCTTTAGATGGTGCTTTCTCAGCTATTGCCTATGGCTGAACAACTGCTAGAAAAGATCCAGAAGGAGCCCACAGCTGTGCTGAAAGATGAGGCCATGGTTCTGCATCTCACTCTGGGAAAGTATAATGAATTTTCAGTTTCCCTTTTAAATGAGGATCCGAAGAGTCTAGATATATTTATAAAAGCTGTGCACACAACAAAGGAACTTTACGCGGGAATGCCAACCATTCAGATCACAGCCCTTGAAAAGGTCAGTGATTTCTTTCAGAAACTAAGGCATAGCATGTTCAAGCATTTAAAGGTAGAAGGCAACAGGAACAGCGTTAAAAAAAAAAAGATTAATATTTTATTTGGAGAAGATAGTTACAGGTGGACTAGACGTTTTAAAGGAAAATGATGTATTTGACCCATTTTTGAAAACTGAACGTTGTACATGGGTCATTAAAAAGAATTGCATTTTAACTGACAAAATTAAGTGGGAAACAATTTTGTATTTTGAGAGAGGTTGATATAAAAATTATTTCTGGAATTTAAACTTGTTCACTGAACTCAGTTGCCTTTTTTCTACCCCCTCTAGATTACAAAACCATTTTTTGCAGCCATATCAGATGAAAAAGTTCAGCAGAAGCTTTTAAGAATGTTGTTTGATTTATTGGTGAACTGTAAAAACTCACATTGTGCTCAGACTGTCAGCAGTGTTTTTAAAGGGGTAAGCTGCAAACTTCTTGTAATTTTTTTTATTAATGTTTATAGTCTCTTCCAAGGGACACCATGTTTAAGAGTCCTGTATTTTATAGTGCTTGTAAGAGGTCAGATGTTACCATTAACAAAAATCATGGAAAAGTAAGTCAGAGAGAGGCATAAAATAAAAATTTTAAATCTTTACCATTATTTTATTTTATGAAGTATTTGTTGATAATTTTAACCAGATAGGATGTGTAGGAATATGTGTGTGTGTGATCTTTCTCATATTAGACGGAATCTACCTATTCCTTTATGCAAGGAATAGGAATGAGTCAATGGCTCAGTATTGAACTGGGTAACATTATTCTACTTAATTTAAATAGTTGTTTAATGACATATAATGGAATTGAAATTCTGCTTGTTGGTTTTATACGTATATTGAAACCTTGTTATTATCAGAATAGCCACCTGGTTATTCTCTTTTTTGAATATAGAATAATACAAAGTTCTAGTATCTAGATTCAGCAGTTCTCAGAATTTTAACATATTAATCTTTTTTCCTTCTTTTTCTTTGCTGAAATATTTTAAAGTAAATCTCATAATGTCATGCACTTTCATCCCTCTGTACTTCAGTGTGCATCTTTTGAAAAGTGGATATGACTACAATGCCATTAGAAGTAAAAAAAAAAATAATTCCTTGGTATTATCTAATACCTAGTTCATAATCATATTTCCATGGTTATCACAAAAGTATTTTTTATAGTTGTTTTCTTTGAATCAGAATCCAAAGATTTAGTTGTGATGTTAGAACCTTATAAAAAGAGATATCTGGATCCCACCCCATATCTAAAGAATCTCTGGGGCAGTAAATCTGTTTTTGTGCATGTGTGTATATGTCTTATTCCTTCCTAGCTGATTAGAATATACATATCTGATCCGGCACTTGGAAACAATCGGTATGGATGATTCTGTATTGCATTACTAGTTGTCCACTCTAAGGGATGAGCGTGAAATTGAGTGACTCTGGACTGGAGAAGTGATACTGTATCATAATCAAGACAAGTGCAGGGCTGTAACTTGAGACTCCCAAGACAAATTGTATAGAAAGCAAGTGCATGGTAGTAGGAGAGCTTGGTTAAAATGAAAATCTGAAGTTGAATTTATGTTGGCTAGAGCTTTTAGTGTATACTCTTCCCTACTTTGCTTTCTTCTCATTCTGGTTTTTCAAGAAGTCTGTAACAAGGTAGTAGCATCCAATGCTGGGGGGGGTTCAGATGCATATCCAGTAAGTCATTCTTCCCTCTTAATTGAATAAATCCTTCCTAGGGGTTAACATTTATTGCTCTAATTTTATCCCAATGGATTATATCATCAACTCTTCTTCCTTCAATATTTCAGATTTCCGTTAATGCTGAACAAGTCCGAATAGAACTGGAGCCACCAGATAAAGCTAAACCCTTGGGCACAGTTCAGCAAAAAAGAAGGCAAAAAATGCAGCAGAAGTAAGAGCTACAAATGCATTGAGCACATGCTGTTGTTCCCTGACTCTGAATGTTATGAAACCATTGGAACTTTTTGATACTCATCAATTTGCTATAATCAGGCACAATGGTTTTTACTTAGCACATGATAGAGTTTGCTTTTCCAACGTTTTGTCTTCTCCATTTTCCAGAAAATCACAAGATCTAGAATCTGTTCAGGAAGTTGGAGGTTCTTACTGGCAAAGAGTAACTCTCATCCTGGAATTACTGCAGCACAAAAAGAAGCTCAGAAGTCCTCAGATATTGGTGCCAACTCTTTTTAACTTGCTATCAAGGTAATGACACTTGGCTTTGATCTGTGAGAGAATAGGACTCTAATTCTTGCCCATCTTATCTAACATTCTCTTTTCAACATACTCTTCTCTTGTTTAGATAGTCTGTAAAATAAAGCAAGTACTATAGGTGAAATTAAAAGATTGGTTTTAGGTATCCATTGCTGGTGCCCCAAACTGACCTTAGTGTCCTGTGTCATGTAGTAAATGGCCACTCACTGTACAGCCTACTTTCCTCTGAACTTTTCAGTAGCGTGCCTGGGACGTCATTACTTGCATTTCAAGATATAGTGTTGAATTTATATAGATATAGATATGTGTGTATATAGTGTTTGCTATCTAAATATATTTTCATATATATAGATGTATATATTCTATATACGTAGATTTGTGTATGTGTGTGTGTAAATTGAGTATGAATTGTAGCGTGTGCTTTCATGTGAAAGGCAAAGTAATTCTGAAGGTTGTCCTGTAAGATTCCAGATAGGCTAATGGAAAGTGCAATAGAGAGGACGTGGAATTTGACATAGCGCCTGTCTATATGAGAGAAAATTAGAGTTAGAAATCTTATATCTTATTTCTAGACTTGATGTTTAATGATAGTATTTTAGTTATTCCTTATTGAATGAGTTCCTTATTGAATGAGTTCTGGACAATGGCCATTAATGTAACAATGAATTGTACAACTTTTACATTTCCCATCATTTCTCTTTTGGGTGTCCTGAAGATGTTTAGAACCCTTGCCACAAGAGCAGGGAAATATGGAATACACCAAACAATTAATTCTTAGTTGTCTGCTCAACATCTGCCAAAAACTATCTCCAGATGGTGGCAAAATACCCAAAGGTAGGTACTTTTTGGAAGGAAAGGTTAGAAAAATTATCTACTTTGAGCGTGAGTGTACCTGCCACTTAGGGTTTTTGTCTTTCTCACCATTGTAGATATTTTAGATGAGGAGAAGTTCAACGTGGAGTTGATAGTTCAGTGCATCCGCCTTTCGGAGATGCCGCAGACCCATCACCATGCCCTTTTACTTTTGGGCACTGTTGCTGGAATATTTCCGGTAAGCGTTAATGATATAAGATTTTAGCAGATATTTCAGATATTTTTCTTCCACAGAAATGCACTGGCACCTGTTGATTTTAAATTTAATCAATTAGGCTTTGGAATCTTCCAGCACTGGTGAGACTCTCAGCCCTGCCTCTTCATAGCTGGGACTGTATAAGCCAGTTGATCTTGCTAAGCTTTGGTTTCCCTTTTTATCAAGTGGGAATAATAACCTTCTTCACTGGATTGTTGGGGGAATTCAGTTGGATAATTTGTGGTTAGTACTTAGCATAATACCTGGCACACTATCTATCTAATAAAACAGTAGGTATTGGTGTTAATTGGGAAAAGTTAATATCTCATTTATCCTCAAGTAATCCTCAAAGTAACCTTTAACCAGTGACTTCAGAAAATTAATTTGATCATAAACTATGTCATTTAAAGAAATCATGTCCCTTTTATGAAAAATATCATTTAAACATTTGTAAAGAGATTGAAGCTATTTTCATATTGAGGATTTGAGTCAGAGCTCCTTAACCTGGGGTTCTCCATGAGCTTTAGGGGATCTTAATCTACTGAAATCATATGCAAAGTTTTATCTGTATGGGATTTCTTTTTTTCTTGTAAGAGAGTCTGTGCTTCTCAAAGGGGTTGATAATCCAGAAACAGTTAAGAATCATTAATATTTTTTCTGTTTTTATTGAAATATAGTTCAGATGCCATAAAATTCACCCATTTAAAGTATACAATTAAGTGATTTTAGTATATTCACGAAGTTTCTGTAATCACCACCACGATCTACTTGAAGAGTATTTTCATCACCCCAGAAAAGAAACCCTACACCCATTAACTGTCACTCTTCCTCTCCCTCCTCCCTGCCGCTGCCACCGTCACCACCAGCACCACCACCACCACCATGACCACCACCCTGCTCCTGGCCACTAGTAATCCATTTTCTGTCTCTCTCAATCTGCCTATGCTGGACATGTCATATAAATTGAGTCATACAATATGTGGCCCTCTGTGTCTGGTTTCTTTTGCTTAGCATAATGTTTTTGTTTGTTTGTTTGTTTGTTTTGAGACGGAGTCTCGCTCTGTTGCCGAGGCTGGAGTGCAGTGGCGCGATCTCAGCTCACTGCAAGCTCTGCCTCTTGGGTTCATGCCATTCTCCTGCCTCCGCCTCCCGAGTAGCTAGGACTACAGGCACCCGCCACCACGCCCGGCTAATTTTTTTGTATTTTTAGTAGAGACGGGGTTTCACCGTGTTAGCCAGGATGGTCTCGATCTCCTGATGTCATGATCCGCCCGCCTCGGCCTCCCAAAGTGCTGGAACTACAGGCGTGAGCCACCGTGCCCGGCTGCTTAGCATAATGTTTTTGAGGTTCATTCTTGTTGAAGCTTGAATCCGTATTCCTTTTATGACTGAATAATATTGTTGTATGTGTATGCCACATTTTGTTTATCTGTTCATCGGTTGATGGACATTTGGGTTGTTTCAACTGTGGGGCTATTATAAATTATGTTGCTATGAATATTGTAGACATGGTTTTGTGTGGACATGTTTTCATATCTCCTGGGTATATATACCTAGGAGTGGAATTGTTGGGTCACACGGAATTTTATGTTTAGCTTTGGAGTAACTTGCAAGACTATTTTCCATAGTGGCCACACCATTTTGCTTCCACCAGCAGCCTGTAAAGTTCCCAATTTCTTCACATCCTTGCCAGTACTTGTTACTGTCTTTTTTATCGCCATTCTAGTGGGTGTGAAGTAGTATTTGTGCTTATATTCTTTTCGTATGAATTTTTTCTTTGAAGAAATGTCTTTTCAAATCCTTTGCCTGTTTTTTAATCAGGTTATTTCTCTTTTTATTGGTGAGTTGTAATGAATTGTTGAAATGGAAAATGTTAGCCTGAGCAGGAATATCACTTGTGGCCAGGAGTTCAAGACCAGCCTGGGAGTTCAAGACCAGCCTGGGTAACATAGTGAGACCCCACCCTTACAAAACAGAAAAGGAAAAAAAATTAGCTGGGCAGGGTAGCATGCACCTGTAGTCCTAGCTACTCAGGAGGCTGAGGTGGAAGGATTGCTTGAGCTTAGGAGTCCAAGGTTTCAGTGAACTGTGATCACACAACTGCACTGCATCCCAGCCTGAATGACGGAGCGAGACGCTATCTCTTGAAAAAAAAATTAGTAGAAATTAACAGAAATAAAAAATGTTGATAGTTGTGTTTTCTTTCAGGATAAAGTTTTACACAATATCATGTCTATTTTTACATTTATGGGAGCCAATGTCATGCGCCTAGATGATACTTACAGTTTTCAAGTTATTAACAAGACAGTGAAAATGGTTATTCCCGCACTTATTCAGGTAAGGTCTCTTTATACCATCGTGGGGTTTCTTTTTTTAATTTAAAAATTTTGCATATAAATGACATTAAAAGCCTTTTTTTTAGTTTTTTTTTTTTGTTTTTTTTTTTTAATATCCTCAACAGTTGTATAAAAGCCTTTCTGAAATGCTGAAGTACATTGCCCTTAAGTTTTAGAACATTGAAGCTAAGAAGCAGTCTTGGCAATGTCTTTCTCAATAATATAAACAAACGTGTTATAGCTGGTTCTGCTGTGCTGTGAGTGTGTAACTGTAAGTGTCTTAACATCATTCGGGTGGGGTAAATTGACATCCACCATCTATTTCAGGACATTGCATCAGTTTGATAATACCTTCTTACATGTTGATGAGGCTAGGAACTTTTAGAGCTACAGTGACAAATTTGTTAACATGCAGTTTAGCAAATGTTTACCAAGCATTCTCTAAGAGCTAAACTCAGAGAGAGAGGTGAGATGTTCTCTCTCCCAGTAAGGAATGAACAATTCAAAAGTTAAAAGTAGCCTCAAGAGTAAAAGAGCTTGTTCATCTACTTGAGTTGTCTATGTACCCTTCACTTGTTAATTAATGTCTTTTCTCATGCTATTGACCCTCTGAGGGATGACCATATTCAGCACCTTCTTTTAACCTTAGTATTAGATTGGTGTTCTCAGTGTCCACCAAGTTGGCAAGTATAGGATATATACCTAAAAAGAAAAATAATAATATGCATTCATATGATCAGTGCCAGTCGAATAAGTAAATGCTAAAGAGTTCAGAATAGGGGAAAGTCTATATGGGCCAGGATGACCAGAAAGTTCTATAAGAAATAGAATTTGTACCGGTGTGAAAGAAGGATGGGATTTGTTCAGTGATGGCAGAGCCAATAGTATGAGAAAAGGCATGATCTAGGAATGTGCACAGCATGTTTGAAGAATGTAATGGTGATTGATTGATGGAGAGCAGAGGGTTGAGACAGGTAGACATTGGTTTATTCATTCATTCAAGTGTTTTCTGTCATTCTTTCTGTCATTTATTCAACAACTATATTTTGATCACCAATACCTGGAGTAAAATGGTTCAAACTTTATTCTGAAAGCAGCAGGAAGTTGTTGGCCTTTTCTGTGCTCTGCTTATCTTCATTCTTCTTGAGGCACAACCCAAATCCTGTGTGATTTGTGCAGCCTTCCCAGGCAGTCTAAGCAGACTTGCTATCAGTGTCACATATTTGGCATGTGCCATTACTGCCTCCTGTTATCTTTTCACACATGTATTGTTTCTTTTGTTTGTTTGAGACAGAGTTTTGCTCTTGTTGCCCAGGCTAGAGTGCAATGGCATGATCTTGGGTCACTGCGACCTCTGCCTCCTGGTTTCAAGTGATTCTCCTGCCTCAGCCTCCTGAGTAGCTGGGACTACAGGCACGCACCACCACGCCCGGCTAATTTTGTATTTTTAGTAGAGATGGGTTTAACCATGTTGGCCTGGCTGGTCTTGAACTCCTGACCTTAGGTGATCTGCCCAGCTTGGCCTCCCAAAGTGTTGGGATTACAGGCGTGAGCCACTGCGCCCAGCCATGTATCCTGTTTCATACAGAAAATAAATCTCCTTTGGGGCAGGGCTCATATCGTACACTTTGTATTCCCCTTGGGGCTAAGTAGCGCTTGGGACATGACAGGTACTTACTGAATATTTATTGTTAGGCCTTTGATTATTAAAACTCTTGTGGCTGAGTGTGGTGGCATGCACCTGTAACACCAGCACTTTGGGAGGCTGAGGTGGGATTATTTGAGGCCAGGAGTTTGAGAACAGCCCGGTCAACATAGCAAAACCCCGTCTCTACAAAAATTTTTAAAAAGTGGTGGTGGGGTCCTGGGATGTCCCAGCTTCTTCGGAGGCTGGGGCAGGAGGATCTCTTTGAGCTCAGGAGATCCAGGCTGCGGTGAGATATGATCACATCACTGCACTTCAGCCTGGGCCATGGAGAAAGACCCTGTCTCTAAAAAAATAAATAAAATTCTTCTGGCAATTTCTTGGGGCCCATCTAAAAGCCTTATCTTGTTCACCTAAACTTGTTTTGTGGAAGATTACTTGCACCTACTCATTGTCTCTGCTTGCTGTTTTGCAGTCTGATAGTGGAGATTCTATAGAAGTTTCAAGAAACGTTGAAGAGATTGTGGTAAAAATCATTAGTGTATTTGTGGATGCGCTGCCACACGTCCCGGAGCACAGGCGCCTGCCCATCCTTGTTCAACTTGTTGATACACTGGGTGCAGAGAAATTCCTCTGGATTCTCCTCATCTTGCTTTTTGAACAGTATGTCACAAAAACAGTGCTGGCGGCTGCCTATGGCGAAAAGGTCAGAACCTAGGGTGGGAAGATAAGGAAAATGGTGATTTCTCACACAGATTTTATGATATTGTCCAGTTTAAACATGGGGCTGATGATGCCTAATGTGTGTTATTTAGAACCTTTTTGCTCAGAACCTTTTTCAAAAAGGTTTTTGGCATTTTAAAAAATTGCATTCAGAGCCCATAGCACTCTGAATATCCTCAGTTGCAGCAAAACATCTGAAGGCGAATTAACTTTTCTGAGAAACAGTTCTGGTGCCACGCAAGTGGTTCTCTTTTAAGCCCAGCAGAGTATGGCTGAAGAGTAATGAAACAGTGTCTCTTCAAAGCGGTTTTGAAGGCAGTTTGTGGGGAAATAGAGGAGCGTCCGTGTCCCTGAAGTCAGTAAGACACAAACACAGGTGATTGTTTGGATAAAGCCCTGTTTGGATAAGTCGAGGACCATTTTTAAATGACTTCTTAGACATGGGATCTGGGAGTAGATCTCGACCCACTCTAAATAAAGTAGTATACTCTGTTCTGCTAGAAATCCTAACGCACATTATCCTGAAATTATGCCTTCACAATTCCTAAGTACAGATTTGTTACCTTTTTCTTTTTCTACACAGGATGCTATTTTAGAAGCAGACACTGAATTTTGGTTTTCAGTCTGTTGTGAGTTTAGTGTCCAGCATCAGATACAAAGCTTGATGAATATCCTCCAGTACTTACTAAAGCTGCCAGAGGAAAAAGAAGGTAAGCGTAGATCGGGTGTCACTTACTGTTCAATCTGAAAGCTAAAGAGAAACAGAAGAGAATGCAGGTTATCCTTAGTACATCTTCAGAAGGATTTTTAAAGTAAGTTAATCATTTTAATTTGATTGTGTAGTTTCTTGAATCCTTATGGAAAATAGTCGGAATTCCATTTGCCATTCCTCACACATTGTCTTTTATACCTCTGTGCTCTGCGCTGACGTCTTGGCTGTGGAATGTTGCTGGTATCCAGGATGAGTTAGGTTCAAATGACAGTAAATGATCAGGACCTCATTAGCTGTCTCTCAGCTTCTCATTAAAATATCTGAAGACATTTACATGAAAAGAAAAAAAGTAGGTACCACAGGAGTGGCAGCAAAATATTAAAATTGTACCATGCAGCAGAGCCTTGAAGAAAATCCCACGAACCGCAGCACCACTGAGGCTGGCTTAGGAAAGGGTTGATGAAGCCAGGTGTGATGGTGTTAGCCTGTGGTCCCAGCTACCCAGGAGAATGAGACAGGAGGATCACTTTAGCGCAGTTCAAGACCAGCCTGAGCAACATAGTAAGACGCCATCTCTAAAAAAAACTTTTTTTCATTAAGAAAGGGTTGACGTGTTGATAGTTCTTAGTTCTCTACAATTCGAAGCAGAACGACAAGGCACGTTAGAAGGAAGGTACTCTAAGAGCTCCGCAGAGACTGTTTTCTGCGTGGCCAGCCATTGGCCCTGTCATCCCTGTTTGGCGAGGCAGTAACTTGTCCCATCCTGCAGTCAGCTCAGGTTTGGCAGGGACAGACGAGGGAGGTCCCTGGACAGTATGTGGTGTATGTGGTATATGTGGTGATGTGGGTAAGGAAGTGTCTTAGCAGTAAGTCATTCTATAGGCTAGTGGTTTTTAACACTGCACTGCCAACCCCATTTACATTAGACACATTGAATAAAGAAATCTACACCTGCAGTTGGAAGTTCAGAGACTCCTTCCGTGATGTGGTTTCTTCCATTTGATTGTCCAGTTTCCCTGTTTTGTTTTTTGTCTTAAACACTCGCTTCTCAGGGCCACTGGGTACTTTCTTGGCAAATACACTCACGTTTTTCACTAATTTAGAAGAGGAGAAACTGGATGTAATAGATGAACACATTTCTCTGGGAAAATGTTATCCCGTTAATTGTCCTTTACTTGAAAGGTTATATCTGTTAATTCTGTATGAAGGATTCAGGTGAAAATGAGTAAGGTCACTTGTTTTATTGCTGTTTCAGAAACCATTCCCAAAGCAGTGTCATTTAATAAGAGTGAATCACAAGAAGAAATGCTACAGGTTTTTAATGTAGAGACTCACACTAGCAAGCAACTGCGGCATTTTAAATTTTTGTCAGTGTCCTTCATGTCTCAGCTCCTGTCTTCCAATAATTTTCTGAAAAAGGTAATGTGTTCTTTAAATGTGTTTATAAAAAGGTATTCTGCTGTCTCCAAGGAACTGTTCTCAACCAGTAGAAGTAGCTTGGTAAATGGCTCATGAAAATGGGAGGCACGCCTTTAAAGATAATAGAACAAGAAAGTACGTTTCACCATGAAAAGCCGTTCGTCATGATCTACTGAGATGGAACATAATGTAAACTCTGTGACTCAGTGGTTTCATTCTTAAGTGTTGTGTACCCATCAGAAGTTTATGAACCTGTACACCAAAAAAACTACAAGAATCTTTATAATATTCATAACATTCTTCATGGTAGCACAAAACTGGTAACAACTCCAGTGTCTACCAGCAGAGTAGATAAATTGCCTGTATTTTATTTTATTTTTTGAGACAGGTCTCACTCCATGTCCCAGGCTGAAGTGCAGTAGAGCAATCATGGCTCACTGCAACCTGAAACTCCTGGGCTCAAGCAATCCTCTTGCCTCAGCCTCCCAAGTAGCTGGGACTACAGGCGTGTGCCACCTACATCTGGCTAATTTTAAAACTTTTTTTATAGAGACAGGGTCTCGCTCTATTACCCAGGCTGATGTCAAATTCCTGGCCTCAAGCGATCCTCCCAACTCGAGTTCCCATAGTGCTGGGATTACAGGCATGAGCCATCATGCCCAGCCTTTCTTTACCTGGATATAGTGAGTTCTGCATGTATGATTTGTATACATCTCTGTTTGTGTATTAAACTTGTTTAAACAATGAGAGAAAAGGAAGGAAAGAAAGGAATACGACCAGGAATACAAAAATGGTTTGACATTAGAGTACTGTAAAGTCCATTAGGTCCTATAATGCGTTAACAGATGAAGAAGGGAAACCATATGATCATTTTACATTTCACAGTGAAATAATTCAGCAGACTCAATGCTTATTCACAACTTAAGAGAGAAAAATCCTCGCTCACACCTGTAATCCCAGCACTTTGGGAGGCCGAGGCGGGCGGATCATGAGGTCAGGAGATCGAGACCATCCTGGCTAACATGGTCTCTACTAAAAAATACAAAAAATTAGCCGGGCGTGGTGGTGGGCGCCTGTAGTCCCAGCTACTCGGGAGGCTGAGGAAGGAGAATGGCGTGAACCCGGGAGGCATAGCTTGCAGTGAGCCAAGATCGAGCCAATGCATTCCACCAACCTGGGTGACAGAGCGAGATTCTGTCTGAAAAAATAAAAAAAATAAAAAAAAGGAAAAAACTCCTCTCAGCAGTGCAGGATAGATGGGAATTACTTTGGCCTAATAAAGGTGACAATCTGAAGCTTGTGGTTTATATCATACCTAATGATGAAATATTAATGGTGTGCCTGCTACAGTCAGGGACAAGAATCTCCTCTGTCATTGTTTCTATTCAGGAAAAGAAATGAAGTGTAAGAATCAGGAAAGAAGAGAATCAGCAATTAGAACTAATAATGAGTTCAGTAAGCTTGCTTAAGAGAGATCAGTGTAGACACTATCTAGAGATCAGTGTAGGTTGTGATCTGTATCAAGCAGGCTGGCTGAACTAATTAGTCTCACCACTGTTATATAATATTGTTATTCCTCAAATTAGAAAACAGAGTAGAAAAAAAGATTTCCTGTATAATACAAACATAAACTTATAAGGTACCAAGAATAAGCCTGACAAAAATATGTGCACAAATATTACAGGGGAAATGTGCAAGATATGAAGGGACACAGAAGAAAACTTGGAAGAAATAGAGAGACACTGTGTTTACGCATGAAGAAGCCTCACTATTTAAAGGTGGCAGATCTGCCCAGATTGGTCTAGAAACTCAGTGTGCTTTTTCAATTATATCATTTTAAGAAATGATATTGATACATTGATACCAAACTGTAAGGGGCCAAGGACAGTGGTATGGTGCAGGAGTAATCAGATGGATCAATGTGACTGAACAGTAGGCCCAGAAACACATGCAGGCATAGGTAAGAGGTGCAGCAGGTGATTTTACAAAGCAGTTGGGGGAGAGAATGGTCCAAGTGCTGGCCCTGGCATGATTTGTTTCCCATTTGGGGAAAAGTCTGATGTCACACCTTGTAGAAAAGACAACTTTAGTCAGAGTAAAAACTTCATTGTAAAAAACAACAGTTCAAATGTTTAGAAGAAAATCAAGGAGAACATGATTGTGACTGGAGGATAGGAAAGAATTCCTTTAAAATTTTGATTCAATAGAAAGCCACAGGCTGAGAGAAGATTATTGCTCTGCATAAATCAAAAAGCCTCAGTTTCCATTAGAACAACTGGCAAAGAATATGAATTCACTGAAGAGGAATTACAGATGGCCAGTTAATGTACAATGTCATTTAGCCTCCAGTAAGCAGGAAATGTGATTAAATGTGATACCCATCAAATTGGCAAAACTGTTGAAGTCGTTAGTACCAGGGATTGGGTACGTAGTGGCAGACAGTGTGATTGTTCCAACCACTTTAGAAAGCAATTGGCAGGATCCCATGAGGTTGAAAGTTCCAGTAATTCCTGTGATCTGGTCATTCCCTTCCTTAGGTATATATGCTGTAAAAACTTCCCAAGATGATCAAAGGGACATAAAAATGTTCTTCTCTAGCATTATTAGTAAAAGGGGAAAAAATGGACATAAACTAAACATCTAACAACAGAGGCAAATGGATAGATAAGTGGTATTTATAGAGGAATATCATATGCAGTTAAAATGAAGGAACTAGAACATAAGTCACCATGCATAGATCTCAAAAATATGTTTCCAGAAAAACATGTTGTTCCGTGATATGTAGTGTTTGAAACATTTGGAAGCAGATTTGGGATGATGGTTTTGTTTGTGGGGCTTGGGGTAGAGGGAGAATAGGACCAAGGAGCAGTACTTGGGGGATTCCAGCTGAATCTGTAATGTTTAACTTCTCAACAAAGGATATGTGAGCTCACCAGCTCAGCATGTCATAGAATTCGGTAGTGCTAATTGAGTGTTGATTGCTGTATTTTTCTGAACCATTGTAGTACTTTTTAGATACTACCAGTAGAATGTAATTAAAATAAATTAAGAGAAATAGAGTTACTACAGTATAATGAAGATGATATGAACCTGATTAAATTGTAATGTCAGAAAACAGTTGCTGTGGAAGGTTTCAGTGAATGGTCCGAGTTTCATTGAACTGACTTGAAATGACTTTTATTATTGACTTCCCTACCGTTCTAATGACGTCTTCTTTAAAAATTAGGTAGTTGAGAGTGGTGGTCCTGAGATTTTAAAAGGCCTTGAAGAGAGGTATGTTTCCTTTTCTTTTTCTACTTTTTATTTGGAAATGACTTCAAACTTATAGAAAACCTGGAAAAACAGTACAGAAAATTCATATACTCTTTACAACCAGGTTCACCATTTGATAATACTTTCTGCCACATTTGCCTTAGCGTTCTCCCTATGTAGGGTTTTTTCTCTGAGCCATTTGAAAGTAAATCATATACATTATGTCTCTAAGAATAAGAGATGTTCTTATAAAACCACAGTACATTGATCAAATTCAGAAAATTTAACATTGATCCAATCCAGTGATGTAATCTACAGTTCATACTCCAGTCTCCCTAATTATCCCAACACTCTCCTTTACACCGCATGTGTTTCTGCATCATGATCCATGTCAAGTCTGTGTATTGTATTGAGTTGCAGTATCTGTTTAGTGTCTTAATCTGGCCCTGATTTCTATGGGCTCATGAATTCTTTATTCTGTGGATTCTAATCCATATGCTGCCATTATATATTTGGGTGCAGGAATTTTCCTTTCTCTCCCATGTCCTCGGGGTTTGCCTCCTGGCCTTGCTGTGTACCTCCTTTTCAGATGCATGGCATTCCCAGGGCCACTGTCCTGCCCCTTCCACTGGAAAGTGCCTGCCCTGCAGCCAGGAATGTGAGCTGCTGAGTTCCAGTCCTGTGGGCTGACTTGTAGCGCTATGCGTAGGACTTTCGTTTTTGGAGCTGATTTTGTCTGCGCCCCCTTCTCCCCTCCTCTGCTGTGCGGTGTCAACTTCTGTCTCCACTCTTCCCTCTAGCTCCCCCCTCAGGCTGGCAGCAGTGGGGGGATCTCCAGTGGCAGCTGTGTTGGAATTTGGTGTGTGCTTTTCTAATTACAAGTTATTTGAAGTTTGTAGTCTTTTTTTTTTGTCTCCTAATAATGTGAAAGAAGTGGGTTATATGTTCATTTCTATTAATATTTCTCTTTATATAAATGGTGTATGGTGTGTGTGCATGTGTATGTGTGCGTGTGTGTGCCTGTGTGTGTGTGCGCGCACACACCTGCCATTAACCTAGGGCCATAACTCCCTGAACACCCCACTTGGACAGCCCAGTGAGATCCACTGAGCATGAGCTAGATATGAGTGAGTTCCTTAAACGCTTTCAGCATCTGTTGCTTATTCAGCACCTCACAGAGTCTGAGCGAGGTCGATGCTTCTGCACAGAAGCGCCTAGTTACTTCTTGATGATCTCTGTCTATGGCAATAATCCCTCATTTCCTTTCTTTCCGAGTAGTTTTTGAAATAATTTAGTACAGAATTATTTAACTCGTCTTTCTACTTGAAACATTTAGCATAAGGTAGACATGAACAAGTTCTCTGAGTGCCTTCAGCTGCCGTTTGCTGAGCGAGCCTCTGTGTTTCAGGTTGCTGGAGACCGTTCTCGGCTATATCAGTGCAGTTGCACAGTCCATGGAAAGGAACGCAGACAAACTCACCGTGAAGTTCTGGCGCGCGCTCCTTAGTAAAGCTTACGACCTGTTAGATAAGGTAGGTGTTCATTTCTCCCTGGAATTACTGTTTTGTTGCTGTTTTTTAAATTATTGTGAAATTATGTAAAGTTTTTAAGAATAAACTTAGCAATTCCTTTTATGAATATAATGAAGCTCAGATTTTTCTTAGAAAACAATCTCTTGATGACTAGAAATAGATTTGTCTGGAAAAAATTGTTTCCTTACCAGTTATGAGAACATGTACCTCGTATATTTTAATAATTAAGTCATATAATATATACTGTTCTACTTTATTCAAGTGGAATAAAATAAAAGTATGAAGTATATTACATACATATCACTGGCCTCGAAGTTAGGATTGCTGATTCAAATCTAGCTCAGTCATTTAGCTGCATGCCTTTGGCACTTCCTCCTGACATCAGGCTTTTGTTTTGTTCGATAATGTGTGGTTGGTAATGCCTACCTGAAAGGTTATTTTAAGAATTAAATAAGAAAATGTGTGTGGAAGTGCCTGGTGCCTGGAGGTGTGCAGTGGACAGCAGTCTGTCTTAATTGAAGTTGGTTTTTTTTTTAATTTGTTTTTCTTTTCATGTTAAATATAAAATTTCTCTTTAGGTCAATGCCTTGCTGCCCACAGAGACATTCATTCCTGTGATCAGAGGGCTGGTGGGCAATCCCCTGCCATCTGTTCGCCGCAAAGCGCTGGACCTTTTGAATAACAAGCTGCAGCAAAATATATCCTGGAAGAAGACAATAGTGAGTGAAGACCCAGGACACACCCATTTACTGTACTTTGCTTTATCAAAGAGCTGCATTTAACTCCCTTCAATTTCTCTAGTGGTACAATTTCAAATTGAAGTATATTATTTTCTGAATATAATACCATGACATGTTTTAAAATGTGACGTTAATTCTAACGGGAATATATGTGTGTTGTAAGAGCTCTTAGAATGGAATTTCAGCCTAGTGGAATTCTTGCTTACTACAGAGCTTACGTGGCCTTAGCCTTAGCATAGTTCTAAGTCCCTTTTACTCCAGATCAGTGGGTGCTTTGTATAAGTGAAACACTGGCTAGAACATGCACATCGCTTAGCATGACTGTGTGACTCAGGACCCCCGAGTCTGATTTCCATTTAGACAATCTCAAGCTGTGACAATGGGAAAATGGACAAACATTTTTTGCAGCTTTAATGATTTGGGGATTCTGGCTGTCCCCTTCAGGTTACCCGTTTCCTAAAACTGGTTCCAGACCTTTTGGCCATTGTGCAGCGTAAGAAAAAGGAAGGGGAAGAAGAACAAGCAATCAACAGACAGACAGCGTTGTATACCTTAAAGCTTTTATGCAAGAATTTTGGTGCAGAAAATCCAGATCCTTTTGTCCCAGTGCTGAACACTGCTGTGAAACTGATTGCTCCAGAGAGAAAGGAGGAGAAGAATGTCCTGGGAAGCGCGCTGCTGTGCATAGCAGAGGTGACCTCCACCCTGGAGGCGCTGGCCATCCCCCAGCTTCCCAGGTATGCGGCCGGAGACTTGGAACAGGAGCTGTTACCGCCTGGCACACATTGAAAAATAACACTTTGGTGACTTTTTTTTTTTTTCCTCTGAGTAGACGTTGCATAAAATTGGAATTTGTTAAAGAATTGATCTTGCAGGGTGTGGTGGCTCACGGCTGTGATCCCACCACTTTGGGAGGCCAAGGCAGGGAGATCGTTTGAGCCCAGGAGTTTGAGGCTGCAGTGAGCTATGACTGCACCACTGCACTGTAGCCTGGGCAACAGAGTGAGACCCTGTCTCTTAAAGAAATAATAATAAAAATAATTAATCTTCAAACAGAAAGATGCAGCCTTCCCGTTTATCTTCAGATGCACTACTTTGCAGTGTTAATCGTCCTCCATTCTTCCTTCCTTTTGTCTAGTATAGTCAAAAAGCAGTGGGTGAAGGTTCTTGGCAGAGGGGCCCACCCAGTTAGGCAAGGCCAAAGCTGCCTTCTGCTGCCAAATTTGGAAGTTAGAAGCTCCTGGCTGTGGTAGTTCCTTACTGTACAGCCAGTATGTTCCTTAACCTGTTAGAGCTTTGCTGTCTATAAAACAGAGACAGTATCTACCTCATAGGATTTCTGTAGGGCAGTGCTTGCAAGGAGTTTTGCATAGTGCCTGACACATAGTAAGTGTTCAGTTAATGAAAGACATTGTTATTTTTTAAATTACTGTTGTGTCCGTACTGTTAGCACTGGGAGATTTCTTGTGCTTAGCCACATAAAATGTATAGACACTGCTTTTTAGGCTATGAAGCAGATAGCGATGTAATAGGCACAGTTTGCTGGTTTTTTTCATAATGCCCTCTACTCCATTCCCTAGCCTCTGTTTCTGCTTCAAGTTCTTCTAAAGCTCTTACTTTGTTTCTAGCCTGATGCCATCGTTGCTGACAACAATGAAGAACACCAGCGAGCTGGTCTCCAGCGAGGTCTACCTGCTCAGTGCCTTGGCTGCTCTGCAGAAGGTTGTGGAGACTCTCCCGCACTTCATCAGCCCCTATCTGGAAGGCATTCTCTCCCAGGTGAGCCACGATAGCCACGACATGCTACGCAGGGTGGCTGGGGAAGGTAAAAGATCACAAATGTAGTGATTTTGTTTTTTCTTTAAGGGTTAGTTTCCGTTTGACAGAAAGGAGTCTTATTTCTGAAGAGATGTGCTTGCTTTTATTAAATGTGTACTTTTTCTCTTCCATCATCCTTGCCACTTAATCTTGAAATTGATATGGGGGTCACTTTTTAGCGAGATGCTTCTCTTCTTTAATTGTGCGGAATGTATTCTGGCTTTTTTTTCTTCTGTGAGATCTTTGGAGTTGGGCTGGTAGAGCCGCCTTTTATTACTTGTGGAAATTGATGGGCCCTGTTTCTACTGTGAGAGGTATAATCCTAAGGCATCTTGCAAAGCAGAATTTTTGTATTGCACGTCAGCGGTTTCCTGTCAACACGCTAGGGGCCAGTGGTATTTATGATTGAAGATGCTCAAGAATGTTGAGACCTGGCTGTTCCATTGTGTTGATCATTTGCCATTTACAAGGTTAGGAGCCTTCATTACCATGGGGCAAATGATTAAACCGCTTCACTTACACCACAGCCAGGGTTTAAAAGTAGCCTTCTCAGAGAAAGGGGCCTGTGCTCTGAGGAGCTTTCTCAGTTTTTTAGCAACTTGACTCTTGCCGTGGTCCCTTGCATTCCTGTCCTCTAAGAAAATCATCTGTCTGGGTGCTGTGTGTGCGTCTGCGTCTACCATCGGCCTTCGTCCCTGATCGCAAGTTGGGCAAGAGGTGTCTGCCCAGTTTTATCCACTGACGTTTAGGGCTGACTTTAAAAGGAATTCTGTGTGTAGTTAAAAAGTGCTAAGCATTTTCCAAACACTAGTACCTCATCATGAAGCCTCTCTGTAAGTGTGTGTTTGTCAGCGAAGATCTGCAGTGGCCCTGATCACTTTTTTTATATTCCTGTAGGTGATTCATCTGGAGAAAATCACTAGTGAAATGGGTTCTGCGTCACAGGCTAATATCCGTCTCACATCTCTTAAAAAGACACTGGCTACCACACTTGCACCCCGAGTCCTGTTGCCCGCCATCAAAAAAACTTACAAGCAGATTGAGAAGAACTGGAAGGTTAGATCTTATTGGGTATTAAGACTTTGGAGAAGGGAGAGGTGGTACTGCAATGTGTAAACTTTGACTTAAAGAAGAAGATTTAGTTTTTAAAAATACACACCGCTGAACTCTAGGAATCATTTGAAAATGGCACATCTCTTTCCTGTGTTATTGGTAGAATCACATGGGTCCGTTTATGAGCATCTTGCAAGAGCATATTGGGGTGATGAAGAAGGAAGAGCTCACCTCCCATCAGTCTCAGCTAACCGCCTTTTTCCTGGAAGCCCTGGACTTCCGAGCCCAGCACTCTGAGGTAAGCTCAGGTTCACTCCTCCAAATCCTAAAGCTGTTATCCACCTATTGAAGAGTCCGAGAACAATCTAGCCGTGTAACAGTGGTACTTGCCAAAATAATTTACAGTCAGGTATCAGCACTCTAATAAATGGGCTCTTCTGTTTTCAGAACGATCTGGAGGAAGTTGGAAAAACGGAAAATTGTATCATTGACTGTCTAGTAGCCATGGTTGTCAAACTTTCCGAGGTCACATTCAGGCCCCTGTTCTTCAAGGTGACGCTTTCTTCCTCTTCCTCTCTTTTGTGCTCAGATTTAAGTGACAAGATGTCGAAGAAACTAATACTGTCTTATCCTTTCAGCTGTTTGATTGGGCTAAAACAGAAGATGCCCCAAAGGACAGGTTGTTGACATTTTACAACTTGGCAGATTGCATTGCTGAAAAGCTGAAAGGGCTTTTTACTCTGTTTGCCGGCCACTTAGTGAAGCCTTTTGCTGACACCTTGAACCAGGTGAACATCTCCAAAACAGGTGGGTGGTCGCTTCAGTTCAGCTGTCACCCTTGCCCTGTGTGCCTTATACAAGGTACCAGTAAGACACAACCTAGTGCTTGGAAGCAAGATTTTAGAGGTTCTTAAGTCCTAAGCTAAGGAGGGTGAATTTTTTACTTCATTGTTGTCAGACAGTGAAGTGTTGTTTTAGCATCATGAGCGAATGTTATAAGTCACCTCACTTGGGAGAAAGAATAAAGTAAATGGCCGTTACTGTCAGTTACTGGAAGTAACTTTAAAACGCAAAAATTAAGATTAGTTTATTCTCTAATGCTAATACGTGACCCACTTGACAGTTGAGGGAATTTAACTTGCCAGAGTGAGTGTTAGAATCTTAACTCTAAAAGAAGGAATCATTCTTCGAGAGACCATCCATTGTGTTCTGCCTTCGTCCTGATTATGATTTCTAGATCATTTTAGACTCTTCTGATTTAGTTATTTTAATAGTGATTTCAATGTAAACATTGGAGATTAAATGGTTAAGTTCAGTGTTTTTTCATTTTTACTCTTCCCACGTCTACAGATGAAGCATTTTTTGACTCTGAAAATGACCCTGAAAAGTGCTGCTTGCTGTTGCAGTTTATTTTGAACTGTTTATACAAAATCTTCCTTTTTGATACCCAGCATTTTATAAGTAAAGAGAGAGCAGAAGCCTTGATGATGCCTCTGGTGGATCAGGTAACCAAACAGAATCATCTTTCGTTGCTGAGGAAGCCATCACTGTTCGAGCTTGGCAGGTTTTAGATCTGCTCAAATGACAGCTTGCTAGGATTTTTCTTTGTAAGGTTGTTTTTTCTGGTCTTTTTAATGAAATGTTTTATTTGAAAATTGTTTTTTCAAAGATATAACTTCATTGTGGAATTTGAGTTTTGTTTTGTTGTTTTGAGACAGGGTCTTGCTCTGTCACCCAGGCTGGAGTGCAGTGGTGCAATCTCGGCTCGCTGCAACCTCCACCTCCCGGTTTCAAGCAATTCTTGTGCCTCAGCCTCCCGAATAGCTGGGATCACAGGCGCCCGCCTCCACACCTGGCTAATTTTTGTATTTTTAGTAGGGATGAGGTTTTGCCATGTTGGCCAGGCTGGTCTCGAACTCCTGACCTCAAGTGATCCACCCACCTTGGCCTCCCAAACTGCTGGGATTACAGGCGTGAGCCACCATGCCTGGCCCTGAGTTATTTTTTATTTTTTATTTTTTAAACTGCTCAAAAGACAGACATGATATAAGCTGTCATGGTTAATGTATTCATTTGTTTTAACTGGGCCTCACTGAGAACGCGTCAGAGCATGGCTGTCCTCTGGAGCAAAGAGCTCCTCTGAGATGTTCTGCTGGAGAGAAAGGGGCGATGATAAAGGGTATGAGATTCCATTTGAGTTCTAGAAGGCAATACATTTGCCCTAGAGAGTATTAGAATAATGCCTGGTTTTTGAACCTGCTAATATCATGAAAGATAGTAAAATATTTGTATGTTGGATATTTTTTCAAACAGAAGAAAGAAATGAGACTTGTTGTTCAAAGTCTTTGTCTTACTCTTCCTAGCTGGAAAACAGGCTTGGGGGAGAAGAGAAATTCCAGGAACGGGTGACAAAGCACCTGATACCATGCATCGCACAGTTTTCGGTGGCCATGGCGGATGACTCTCTTTGGAAACCACTGAACTACCAGATTCTGCTAAAGACGAGAGACTCCTCGCCTAAGGTTAGGAACTGCGTGACAAGTACTGAAACTGCATCTTTTCACTGCATAGCCTAAACAGCCTGCAGGTGGTCACAGATGTAGGCCCCCTAGTAAACTGGCAGGGAAGAACATTGCTATTTGTCATCCAGTACTAGAGGTCCGGTCTTTTGTATTAGGCAGAAATTTGTGCCTAAGAAAATTTTGTTTTTTACTTACAGGCTATTTGTAAAGAATAGCAATGCCCTATCCCCACCCCAATGGTGCGTTGGGCAGAAGTACTAAAATACTTTCTAAATACTTTTAAATAACAAAGATTTGAAGTAATTCCTTCTTTTTTAAGTGCCATTGAAATGTCATTGTGCTCCAGAGAGAAATGCATTGAATTTATCCACACTATAGTCTTTTGAGTTAGAGCAATACATTCTGTTGTTTATAGATACTAGGCTTATGATCTTGTTGAGTAAGTGGTGGCAGTGGAAATAAAACATGGGTAGGTTGAGTGGAAGTCAAAATTTGACACCCAAGTGTTACGAATTTCAAACTGTTTTAGCAATGAGTCACCATTTCTCAAACTAATGATTGTATTAGAACTTTACTGGCTATAACAGACCAAAGCAGAATTTTATTAATAGGATTTATTAGTTCAAATTCTTTATTAGGATATGCTAACAATGAGACTATTATGATGAACCCCCACATTTTAAACCATAGGTTTTTATACAAGTAGCAGTATCAAATTTATTGTAATATTTTACTTTGCACAAATCAAGGAAATCCTGATTGAATCTAGGTAGTTACAAATGGTTTTTTAATAATTCACTTTGTACTGTCCAGATATTCTTTAATTAAAATATCCAAAATTAGAAGACCAGTAGGGCTTTTGTTTCAAAAGCTAACAATACCCAACTACTGCTTGCTTTCCTTATTATAGACAAGGCATGTGAGGAACACCTAGACGTTTTTAAAGCCCCAAAACTAGGATATTGTGACACAGAATGTTTTTTATTCAGTGCTGAGATGGGAGTTTATCCCAAGCGACTGTCCTGGCCCCTCATACAATTATAGTGGTGACCAGTCAGGGGCTGTGGGTGAGGAGACCTGCCAGAGGTGGCTGGAGGCACTTTATTGCCAGCCTGGCGGGCTGGCGAGCGCCAATGAAGTAAAATCTGGTGACACACTTGAGTTTGCATGCGGCATTTTATTTTATTGGTTTTTTTTAAAGGAAGAGATTATAAAAAGACATTTCACATTAAAGATTTGCAGTCCTGGGACACAGTTTGGAAAACACTATTTATAAGGTTGCACATATTACAAACAGCTCCCAAATGGTGAAACTGGTATTCTAAGATGAAAGCTTAATGAACATAATGAAGTGAATAAACGCATGTGAACTAATGTTTAAAAAGTTAGAGCTTGTCTCAAGTCAGTACAGCTCTTAAGATAATAAATACAGTAACACTACTTTTTATTTCTTTGCTCTTTTATCCCTTTCAGGTTCGATTTGCTGCTTTGATTACTGTGTTAGCACTGGCTGAAAAACTAAAGGAGAATTATATTGTCTTGCTACCAGAATCCATTCCTTTCTTAGCAGAGTTGATGGAAGGTAATTCCCAAACTATTCCCAACCATTAAACAATTAAGGAATAATTCAGTAAAATTCTGTGAAAATGTGCCCAATGATAATGCAGATTTGGATATAACGTGACTAGCAGTTGATCCAGTCCTCATACAGGCAGCTCCAGTCTCAAATACAGGCAGGCTCGAGCTCCTGTTTTGAGTTGGGTGGAGGGAGCAAGTTGCGAAGTGACCACCTCCTGATCATTTGAGAGTCCGTTTACAGTGTAATCTTCACGATCTTTTCTTTTGTGGTGGTTTGTGATCATACAAGCAGATTACAGTAGTGTTTTTAATTAACCTCATACATTTATATGATTGAAGTTTTGGTCCCCAGATTGTATGGAAATGCCTAGTGGCATTAAGGATGCAGTAGGATGTCCACTTTTAGTAGCAACCGATGTTCATTCACTACTCCATGTTAGGTGCTTTACTTGGATTATCTCACTTAAAAACCACAACATTTTATCTCTGTTTTACAAAGGAAGAAACTAGAGGCTTAAAAGATTTCAGTTATTTGACAAAGATCACAAGCTAGTGAGTGTGACATGGGGAGCTGTGACAGTTCTGGAACATAGAGTCTTAGGCCCAGGAAATAACAGTAAATGTTATTATTAAGGGAGGGGTGGTGGAGCAAGTAGATCAGTCCTTTACTGATTCATTGCTTATCTAAGCTACAAAAGTACATTCTCCTTTGTTTCTTAGCTCTTGGAGGGGGGAGGTGTGAGCTACTAAAGGGGTGGCATCCCTAGGAAGTTTGAGTTTTGGGGATTCTTATTCAGCTTCCAGTGCAAGCCTGTGGGCAAGGAATGAAGGCGGAAGGAGCGGTGTGGAGGGAGGCGGTCCGTGGCGCCTCCTGCTTTGTTAATGTGCTTCATTTCACTCTTTTGATTGAATGATTGCCGGAAAGTGCAAGGCATTAAGAATTAAACTAATGAGAACCGAGGCAGGCGGACTGACTCAGATTTTAATTTTGATTTTTTTTTTTTTTTTTTAGATGAATGTGAAGAAGTAGAACATCAGTGCCAAAAGACTATTCAGCAACTGGAAACTGTCCTGGGAGAGCCACTCCAGAGCTATTTCTAAGACTTTCTGTGGTGTTTCATACTCTACTCAGAGTTCACACTCATATTTCATATTTTTATTTTTGGGTGTTGGGTGCCATGTTACTTTTGGTGCCTTAATACACCTACTTGGATTACTTACAAATGTTTTATCACTTCTTTACAAAATCCCCACCTGGCTTGTGCTGCCACATAAGCCTCTCCTGCCTATCGTATAGAGCTGCAGAAAGAGTAAATGATACACGGTATTTTTATACAGACTGCTGTGTTTGTTTAAACATTTATTATTCTCTTCCTGATTGATGGTAATAATATTAGACTTGTTAATTTTAGCACCCAAAGCTGACGCCTCATTTGCACTGTAAGCCTTAACTCTTCTGTACAGCAGTATCTTACATACATGGTATCCATGTTGCAGATTTCACTCAAAGTTGCTCTATTTCAAGAAAATGAAGTTATTTAGCAATCAACAGAAGTACTTTTGACTGTAAAGCCTACTTTTCATTTTGGGTAGGCGAACTTCAGCCTTCGTTTCTTTGTTGTGCCCATAAAGAGAAGTGGTTCTGGAATGCTTTTTTTAACCCAGGAGTGTGACTGTCACCTTTATCCTTTGTTCTTTTGGGAAACGGGAGAGATGAAGGCAACACGCTGCTTCTAAAACAGCTCACACCTGGCTGCTCACACAGAGGGCCCAGAAACACTGGGTGGCACGAGGAAGCTCCTCCAGGATTCAGAATGAACCCAGTTCCATTGGTGGTTAACTAAGAACTACTTGTCTAAGAAAGTAAGTATCAGTAGATTTTTTTCAATGCTTTGAAGTGCCCTAATCTCTAGTACTGGGTCATGGTGAAGTTGGAAAGTGAGGGTTCAAATAAAATTAGATCTGCCCCCTTTTTAAAGGCATCTAAGAACATCCCGTAGAATGTTCGCATTGAGTTTAAAAGCCTTTGAAGCTAATATAGAAGTTTAATGCAGAAATGTGGCAAGCAAAAGGCCAACTTGCATTTTAGAGACAGAGCTTGCTAGTATAGAAGTGCATATTTCTAAGAAATGTCTCAGTAAAATTCATTAATAAATACTAATAGCTTTTTAAATTTTTTTCCTCCACGTAAAATGAAAATGAACTTAAGACTTACAAGGAATGATGTGAGTGGGCTATTTTTTTCCTAAATGCCTCACAGTCTCCAACAGCTCAGTTAAGCACTCTGATGGTCTTTATGGAGAAAAATAACTCTGGGGGATTCTCGAGTCTTCTTGCCTTCTACAGCTTTCCCTGTGGCACCCTCCACCCCCAACCAGTGTCTTTGAGCTTGGTGAGACTCTGCATACATTAATATGAAAAGCTGGAAAAGAATTAAGGGCTAGCGATTTCTACACTGAGTACTTTTAAAAAAATAAGATTGACAATGGTATTCTTTTCAATATATGGATAGAAATAATATCTAAAATCTGTTCTGAAAATATTCCTAAATCCTGGCAGAGTTCTGCCCCAGTCTAATGTGATAAAATGATCCTCACTGACTGAGCTTTTTTCCCTCCCCACTCCCAAACCTTTGAAATTTCCTGTAACAAGATCTGACCTGTAAAGATCCCATATACATGGAACTTCTGCCAACTCCCCTCAAATAATAGAAAAATCACAGAAATGGAACCATTTAACTTGCTGATACAGGTTTGATTTTAATCACGTAAAGTGGAAGAGTGCTTTGATCTCAGTTGCTAATGATGATGGACTAATCTTTAGAAGAACGGAGGCCTTGATTGGTGATTTCATGGGAACAAAACAGATTTCTGCATTACCTCTGCCTGCTTTGTGGGTCCCTTAGTTGGCGTACACTTTCTGATAGTGCCTGCCTTATGAATGCCTGAAGTCTAATCCTGACCTTACTTTGTTGCCCATAAATATCTTTCAAATTGAATGCATCTTGCCTCTTCCTGAAACTTTCTGTAGGCGTCTGTGTAGACTCTGATTTGCCCTAAGTTCAAATACACAGAAATCAGCTGCCTTGGGCTTGGCATCAAGTTAATTTCAGCACCATGTATTTGTTTTGCTTTGGTTTTTTGCCTTAATTTCTGTGCTCAGATGTCATGCCAATTACTTGGTAAAGCTTGCAGCTAATAGAGCCACATGTTTATTACGATAAAGAAAATGATGTCAGTCAACATCAGTCCTCAGTGATGGGATACGGTAGAGCACTGGTTATGACAGTGATCACTGGGGAAGGAGTTGTGTCTTCTGTAAGTTAGTGTCTTCGGGTGATTTAATATCTGCATAACTAATCCCAGAGGACCCCTTAGGAGTTGATGTAATGCCTGTAGAAAAAGCAGTGCGCAGCAGTAGCGCACAGAAGAGTCGAAGCTCAAGAGAACAGGGAACATACTGGTTTGTTTCACCAAGTATATATCCTAGCTCTTCACAGTTTTACCAAAAAAAATCTGTGCTCAATACATGTTAGCTACTGTATTATAGTAGGTACTCCATAAATACTTGTTGAATGGCATTCTTGAAGAGTCAGCCAAAGTAGGAGAGAGGGCAGAGTGGCTTTAACTGGCTATAAGTGTTGCTGCCCCCAGTTTCCCCATTCAGTGCTAGACACCACCATACTTCATGGCAAGGACTGAGAACACCCAGCAGGACCTAATGGTGCACAAGCTCATTTTAACAATATAAACAATAGAATGACAGTGAGATGCGTTTCAGCAAGGCCAGTATCACAGAAGCCATTCTGTATTTTGGTTTTTGTAGCAGCTGTGTAGGTAGGCTACCAGCTCCTTACTTCCAGTAAGTGGATGTCTCCATTAATTTCCAGCGTGTCAATACTGCTGAGCTCTTTAAATCTGTGTTTGTACTCCAGGCTGTGTACGCCATTTACTGCAACCTTGAATTCTCTAACATCACAATAAATTATCATCTGAAAGGAAAGGATACATGCCATTAGTGGTTCCCCTTAGTTTAAAATTTTGTGTTTGTTACATGCTAACGGTGTCAGAGTAAACCATTTGATTATACATAGAAAAGTTCCAGCCTGCTGCTGCTGACTTCCTTCTGACTTCCAAGACCCTAATCTAACTAAAGTGTCCCTGGTGGTGGCACTGTCTGCCTCATCCCACCCAGGGAAGTGACTCGGACATGTTTGGAGCCTCACACCATCCCCAGGGCCTGCGGCCCTCCTTTCCTCAACACAGCCCCTCTCCCTCGGCCGCATCCTGCCCCTTGCTCCTGGAAAGCCAGAGTGCTGCCCCTCCTCGCCGATGCTGGGGACTCTCCTAAAGCAGGAAAACTCACTCCTAATATGGTTGCTTTAGTTCACCGAGATGCTGTTTCCAGCTGTAGCCTGGAACCAAGGGACTTGGATCCTGACTGACTTTTCTGCCTCAAACTCTAGGACCATGAACAAACCAGACAATTAATATGAAATTTCAGCAGCTTAAGGCACTTGCTAGGGTTTTTACAGCTGCTTGGTGATCCTGATCCTGATAAGCTCAGCACATCTTGGCCTCAGTGTGTTTGTCCAAAGCCGTCAAAGCTGGGTATCCCGTAAGTTGGAAGTGGTGCACATACTACAAATTCAGATCCATCGGCAGTGTTCGCCCTTCACAGTCATCTATGCCCAAAACTCAAACAATGAAAAACCAAAAAACCTACTAGCCTTTTACATCACCTTTACACCTACACTTCATACTTCTGGTGCCACGCTGCCAGTGCCAGGCTGGGTTTCCACCCACTCTGAGAAGGCCACTGGGAGGCCCTGCACTGAGCTCTCCCTGTGCTCCTCGCCCCCATGAAGGCTTCAGAAGAAAGAGGGGCAGCTCAGCCTTGCTGCTAACCCGGCCCCACCCCGAGAGGCCAGAATGAAGCACAAAACCTGAATCTGCAAAGCAGCAAGTTGAGGGTTTCCATTCTTTTGATAGGAGCAGTGGAAAGGACTGTCAAGGAAAATCAGGAAGGGGAGGAAATTTCAGCCCAAGTCCTGCACTCTGATAACAGCTGGCCAAGATGAAGCTTCTGTGGCTACAGAGGATTGGGGAAATAGGTGTAACCTGAGATTCTATCCCCACAAGAATGGTGGGAATCCCAGTTCCAACCAGGTAGAAGGGACCCCAGATATATTTAACAAAATCTCAAGAAAACACAAAACACACAGCCTGATGCTATAGCTCAGAAGGAAAACCAAGTTGGCAGCAGAGGGAGTCAATTAGTTACCTGTACTGTATCAGAGCAAGTGCAAAGCCAGTGAATTACAAGCAAGTGGCAAAGAAATGACATGCTTCCGGGTGAGCAGACTACTGCAAATGAAAAGAAGGCACATCCTTTGCCTAGAAGAAAACAGAACAACAGAATCCCTCACAACCATCTGATGCTGCCGAACAGCTGGAACACGGATTTCATCCAGAGGAAGAGCCCACAGATGAAATTACAACACTGAATGAGATTGTTTTTAAAAAACTGTAGATACAACTAAAGTGTATTTGAAAGAGCAAGAAGATTTAAAATGAAAGTAATGGCATAATGGAAAGACCTGAGATAATCTCAATGCAAGCATATTTAAAAGGCAAGAGATGGAAGCCCCCGGAAAGGACCTATCAGTATAGAAAATCGTCAGCAGTGATCAACACAAGGATAATTACTGCTCCTGAATTAGAAAATTAAATGGAAAAGACGATTGTTCAAAAGCATATAACATTCATCTATTCATTCCTTCAGCCAGCCATCCCTTTCACTGTCTCTGCAAAAAAATGCCTGGAATGTGGTTCACCTAATCCTAATGGTATGGTTTGAATTATGAAGTTGGAGGTATTTTCATCTTAGTATTTTTCAGCATTATTTGAATGTATCATTATTATCCTTTTTTATATTAATATAGCAGATCCAAACTTGGGGCCCAGATAGGTCAAAAACAAGTTACATCATTGGTTTCCTGTCACCCACCACAAGGCTCAACTTCCTTCTAGAGCACTCACCTCTGTTTCCCTCCAGTGAACCCCAAGTCACCCTTTGCGCCTTGACTCTTGCCAAGCTAACAACCCTGTGCTGCCCTTCCCACCTCTAAGGACTTGTTCAAATCATGCCCTAAATCTAGAAAAGCCAACCTTCAGCCTTCCACATCCTTCCCAGCTTTCTGAATTCCAAACCAATATCCACAACTTCAGGGAACCTTCCATGATTAGCCCACATCTGTCTACACTCCACATACCAGGGCACTGCATTAGACTGGAACTTAGGGATAAATATGAATGTCACATTGCTATCTATTCCGCCTGATATTCATGCTTTTAGTAACGAGTTTTGATGAGTCCTCAAGAACCCACATGGTCCAGACAATGTGTCAGTTTAAAATGCTGTAGAATGATAACCTAAACCAATGACCCTAAGTGACTGTGTGAGGCAGTGGCACCTGAGCTGGTGATTGAGGCTGGCCAAACACCCGGCATCCGCATCACAAGGAGACTATTCTCTGCTCAGCATCCCAGAAACATATTTCGGGAAAGGTATGTGTTACAATATTCACCTATCTGGGGACTCAGGACTGCATGCCTTTTAGTTCCAAGGGACTGATGTATTTTTCCTTGAATACATACAAACAAGACTAACTCCTTAGGAGAAAGGACTGCCACCTGAAACCGTCTACCCTGATGGGAGATGATGGCCAGTGCAAGCAAGCAGTTTTAGGGTCTCCACGTCCTCAAGTCTGCTTATATGATTAAATGTGTGACTCCAGTCCTGAGACAAGCTTCCTGGTTAAATTCCTATCAATATGGGGCTACACAGGAATTTTAATATGATGACAAATGTCAATTCCAATGTGCATAATTTGACACTCTACTGGCTTTGCCATTTATACTGATTGCCCACGTTATAAAAAGGGGCAAATTACAATCTCCAAGTAAACAAAAAACATACACAACTTCCACATACTGAGTTAGGACTTGATTTAAATGGACCACTTATCCCACCCCTGCTCCCAGGATTCTTATTGCTGTCCCATTTTCAAAAACTGTAACCTCACCTCAAAGTACATCCCAGGACTAAATGGGAAAGAGGTAATATTTCTCTCTTCTTCTCCCCAGGACTCCTGAAGAAAAGAATTTCTTACAAATGCTTTAATATTCAGGCGTGGGTTCAAGTGTAGAGCAATATCCTTTGATTTTCCTGCTAGTAGGTCAACATTAAAGCTTTTGAGAAAGAAAGAAAAAAAAAAACCTTAATTAACCAAGTAGGACAGAGTAGTGGCAATTTCAGCAATGTTAGTGACCAGACTTGAACTATGATTCTAACTCTATGAAACACACGTATCCACATGGACATGGGAATGCAGGTGAAGTTGAAATTTTAAACCCAGTCAGCATTCCACTAATTCGTTACTTGCAAAATAAAAATACGAAAAAAAAAACCCTTTAAAATCAGCGTTGAGGCTGAGATGTGGTTGGACAGAAATGGAAGGTTTAACGCTAAACTGAATGACTACTTCAGGCTGCAGGAGCCTGGGATCCTCTCAAGCAGGTATTCTCTTTTCATCATCTACCCGTGTTCCTTCCTTCTTGAAAGTATGCCACTTTCTAGGAAATAGCTCTAATTTCAAGCTTTCAGAAGGCTGGACGTCTGTGGAAAAAGTTGTTAAAGCAGAAATTTTCTAAATCACATGACAAGAGGGGCCCTAAAAAATGTTGCCTGGGCTGGGCGTGGTGACTCACACCTGTAATCCCAGCACTGGGAGGGCGAAGTGGGCGGATCACTTGAGGTCAGGAGTTCCAGACCAGCCTGGCCAACATGGTGAACCCCTGTCTCTACTAAAAATACAAAAATTCAAAAAGTAGCTGGGCGTGGTGGTGCGCCTGTAATCCCAGCTACTCCAGAGGCTGAGGTAGGAGAATGGCTTGAACACCCAGGAAGCGGAGGTTGTGGTGTGCTGGGATTGTGACACTGCACTCCAGCCTGGGTGACACAGTGAGGCTCCATCTCAAAAAAAAAAAAGAAAAGATGTTGCCTGATCTTACGGGGCTGCTCTGGAGTTCTACAAGGCAAGGATAGGCCTCGTGGACAAAAATGCTACTCTCTTGTCTGGCCAGAAAAAGCCGAGGTCAGAACACGGCCTTAGTCGGCTCTGCTGCCCACTGGCTGTTCACAATCTAACCACCTCCTGCTTGAATCATCTCACTTTGGAAATGAAGATTCTGACGCTAGCCCTTCTTCCAGCTCACAGGACCGTTCACGGGTGGAAGGCGGTAACAGGCACGGAAGTATCTGCACTGTGACTGGTACCGAAGGATACTGACCTTTTGGCATTTGCATTCACTTCTCCTTTAACGACGACAGTTCGTCCAGGGCCCATGGGGGTGTTCAACCTTGCAGCGAATGGCAGCCTCTGAAAAGAAGCCACAGTCAGGACCAAGAGGCCTGCAGAAAGCGATCTCCAGGGAAAACTCGTGTCCAAAGAACACTACGGAATGTTTCAGAGCCATGACCCTGTAAATCCCAGGAGGGGAGAGACAGTCTGCCTTGGTCCCAGCTGGGTCCCCTGCAGCAGCACTGTCCCTGGCTCGAAGCAAACACACATGATTACATTTTAGACGATGAAATGAGTGACAGGGTGGGACCCGATGCCCTCTGTATGAGTGAAACACGCCAGGAAGGCCCCCTGTGCCTGGGGTCTGAGGCAGTACTGTGTTCTGCCTGAAGGGGAAGCAGCCAAGCAGGGAGGTGCTGAGGAAATACACAGGAATGGCTCAGAGGCAGGCCTGGTTGACTCTCGAATCCGTCCAGGGACGGCACACAAATGCAGAGGGGGCTGCTTTGGGCCTCTATTGTGGATACAGGTTACTCGTAACAGCTCATTACAACTTAATTTTTATATAGAGTTAAGAAAATTTGGTGCTCTTCAAACCTTTGACACATAGTTCATAGGTGGTATTTTGGTGCAAGTCAAAGTGTGATTGACAGTCGAATCTTTGCTCTTGGTGTAGACAGTTCTGGGTGCGATTTTAGAAATGTCTCCTCCTCTATTACTAGGCTGTAGGGAAACAGTTCTACAGTAAGGAATGGAATGAATGAAGCTGCCCTCCACGGTTTAAACTGTTCATTTTCTATGCAACTTTATAAAATATTCCACATGAAATAACCCAGGCAAAAATACTCACAAGCTGGGGCGTGCCAGACTTTGGAACCTATTGGAAAAGAAACAAAACACAACAATGTTAGAAGGGGAAGAATTATAGTTTATAATCTGAAGTCTTGGTTGTGCTGAGCTGAGCCTGGCCGGAGCCTGGGATGTTCCTGCTCCACTCTGGTGTGACCTCCAGGCAGCTGGTGCTTTATGACGGAATGGTATGGTGTTGTGAAGGGCTACACGGGTTGAGAAGAGAGTCTGATATCCCTGTTCATCTGAGTCCTTTATCCTCCACCATAAATTAATAATTTTTCATAGAACTATATGAAATTTTTTTAAGAGACAGGGTCTTACTCTGTCATCCACACTGGGATGCAGTGGCTCAATCATGGCTCACTGCAGCCTCAACCTCCTGGGCTCAAGTCATCCGCCTACTTCAGCCACCCAAAGCTGGGATCACAGCCATGCGCCACCATGCCCAGATAATTTTTTAATTTTTTGTAGAGATGGGGTTCTCCCTATGTGGCCCAGGCTGATCTCAAACTCCTAGGCTCAAGCAATCCCCCCACCTCAGCCAAAGCGCTGGGACTACAGGCCTGAGCCACCACCTTCACCCAGCACTACATGAACTTCAAACGTGTCTTAGTTGTCCTTTCCAGGGTGCCCCCAGAATGCTAAGATTCTGTTCTGTCTGTGAGGTGTGAACGTGCCAGTCGGTAAGACCTCACTTTCTCCATTAATAACAGCGCATTTTTAAATTGCAGTTATTCTCCCAGGGGTTGAAGATACACATGGAAGTTCATTTGCCAGTGCACTGGCTGATGTTCAATATTTGGAAATACCCCAGAACAGTACTATTCAGCAGTTAAGAGTGAGAGAGTGCTTTTTACATAAGAACAGTGAGTGGCAGTTACAGAAACTGACAGGTGAATCATCAGCAAAAACTTACTGCGTGCCTGGCACCACAAGTATGTATCTCAATTTTCAAGTGATTACTTGCGTTCTAAAAGCATAATTTTCAAAAACCCAGCCTTCTTGCCATTTCATTAACATGGCAGCTAAAACAACATTTTTAAACCAGTGGCTCATTAAAAGATTTAATATTTACATTTTCTCTACTTATCTCTGTCAGTTCCAGACTAGATGCTTGGGTACTTTGTAAGTCCTGAGAAAAGATAATAAAGATTAATTTGTAACATCCAGTAGAAAATATTTTCTAAATATTTTATATTGACATATAAAAAAATTATAAATGGTACTAAAAATATGCTTGAAAACTATGATCCAAAAATACACTTGACACTGTGGTCCTTTCCGCCCCCCATCAGATTGGCAAACATTACAGAGAATAAGATGTAATGTCAGCAAGAAGGTGGGAGCATGGCTGTTGAGAGTGCAAACTGTTTTTACCCTTGTGAAGGGCGAGTTAGTATCTATCAAAATTTTCAATGCAAAGACAGTCATGTGTTGCTTAACGAAGGGGGTATGTTCTGAGAAATGTGTCCTTACATGACTTTTGTCATCGTGCAAACATCACAGAATATTACTTAACAACCTTAGATGGTACTGCCAACTACACACCTAGGCTGTAGGGTGTGGCCTATAGCTCCTGGCCAGTGAATCTGTACAGCAGGCACTGTACCAAATACTGTAGGCAACCAGAGCAGGATGGTAAGTATTTGTGCATATAAACTTACCTAAACATAGAAAAGGTATGGTAAAAATACAGTATATGACAATCTTATGGGACCACGGTTGTATATGTGGTTCATCTTTGACTGAACTGTCCTTATGCAACACATGACTGTGCTCTTTGACTCAGGCACTCCCAGCCTAGGAACCTGTCTTACAGAAATACTCCATTTTATGCCCATGCAAAGGAAATAGCTGCTACCCAGCTAAAAACTGTGTGTGTTTTATTAAAACCACACTAGGTTTGAGATCCTACAGACAATGAAGCCCTGGCTGATAAACAGCCTTCTGCTAGTGTGAACAGTTCACTTCCAAAAAATTAATACTACAGTCAGGGAGATACGTCCTTTTTATGTCAATAGAAGTGTTATTTGAAGATTTTTTCTACCATCTCATCAGAAACCATCCTCATAAAAGACCCCAAGCTGTGGAAGGTCACTCACCGAGCTGAAGCTAAAACCAATTGAGTGAATATTCACTTTGCCATAAATGCCCAGAGTGTCTATTTTCTCTGGGCCGATCCTGTGGCCATAGAGCAGAGTATGTTTTCCATTTACAGCCACCTAGAGAGATACAGAAGACAGAGCCCCCCCCGCCACCAAAAAAAAACAGTTAATAAATTAACTTATTATCCAAATTTAAATGTTTCCTTGCGTCCAGTTTTATACCTGTTCCCACAGGTCTCCACACACATGACCAAATGGTAACCGAAAGCACCCAAAACACTAGCAGTGCTTCCAAACTTCTTTTGAGTTCCTGATTTGATTAAGCACCAGGAACTGTCTCTCCCCAGACAAACAGGCAGTCATAAGTATATGTGCGTGTGCTTGTGTGCGCCTCTGCATACATGTGAGACATCTGGGTTCGAAGGTCGCCTGGAAGCCCAGGCACAGGTGCCCTGGAGATTGTGAACCCAGGTTAAAGATCTGCCTGCGAGCTCCCCACAACACTGTCCCTGGAGACCACCCATGTGGCAGACACTCAAAATCTGTTGTATTTGCTAAATAAATTAATATGGACAAGTTACCCAACATATTTGAATTCGGTTTTCTTATTCTGAAGTAGGAACAGTCTCTACCTCAACAGACTACAGTAAGATGACGAGAAAGTAGCTTCTGCAGGTCCTCGGCACGCTACGAGGCTCCTCCTCCCTCCCTCTCAAATGCCAGGTACCACGTTAGGTTATAGGCAGAAAACGCGAGCAGCATACAATATAGTCTCTGACTCAGGGAGCTTAAAATCCCATTGTGGAGGCAAAATAAACACGTAAAGCCAAAGCACAACTGTTAAAAACTGTGAAAAAGAATGATACAGACACGGGCTCAAAAGGCCAGAGAAGGGAGAGGTGAATGGAGTTTGGGAGATTCAGAAAGACTTTCGGGCAGGAGCAGTATCCCGAAGATCAGAAAGGATCTGCGCCAGAGGCATTCGAGTCTTCTCTCGCGTTGGTACATACCTCTACTGTGGGCAAGCTCCACAGGCCAGAGGGCCAGCAGGTGTAAGCTTCTGGGACCAAATTCAACCGTACACATACACGCTAGGTACAAGACACTCCATGAAGCCAGAGATGGAACTGACATCAAGGATTTCTAGGATCTCCTCTGGGTCTAAAATCTCATGATCCTACGGAACTGTCTTGTGGCAAGACTTGAATTTACAAAACCCTTCTGATTTCTTCGCTGGGATTGCCCTTGTTAGCTCTTCGGGTGGTGGCGGTTATATTATAACTTACCCTCCCATCATGAACATAATACTGTGTCAATTCGGAACTCAGCCCTGCTAGGAGAAATAGGATCTAATAAAAAGATCTGGTCACAGTGGACCATATTTCTGCATGGCAACAACTGGCTGGAGAGTAGTGGTGCCATACCTCACATTTAGGTGCCTTCCTGGTCCTTTTATGGAGAAAAACTACAAAGCCAAACAAACTATATCTCAGGTGTAGGAAATATAAGGCTGGGCTCACAAATGTGAAAAGCACCCCTGTGCACTCCTGCTCACTAATGAGGACTCAACCTGTCCCTCTCCAAAACCTACCTGGAATTTGTCCTTCAGCACCATAATCACGATCTCAAAAGACTTTTCTCTTTTGAAAGGCGTGTCATAGGTGATCTCTTCCCGTCCCCATTTTTCATTTATCAAAGTATTGCAAACAATGCAGCCGGCCCTTTTGAAACGAGGATTGAAATGAAAGGCCACATCGGCTCGAGGTTTCATGCTGCTGCCATTCTGCAGATCCACCTGGAATCTATATGAGGGAAGACACAGGGGCCCCATGAGTGCTCAGAAAGGAAAGCCACCAGTAAAGGACCAGCAGGCACTACACTCCAGGCCCAGTGACAAGGGACTGACCAATCCCTCCTCATTCATTCACTATGAGGCCTAAAGAGCTGACTGTCTAATCTTTTCTGTCTTCCTCAGTAAAATAGCCCCTGAGTTTGAACTGGGTCTGAATCTGCCCAGAATAAAAACCTACCTTTCCCAGCCTCCCTCGCAGCTAGGCCTGCCTGTGCAGCTAAAGCTCTGCTGGTAAGATGGAAGTGAAGTGCTCAGGGAAGGCTACTGGAAACTGCCTTAGAAGTCAGCAAGCACTTGCCTTTTGTCCAGCTCTGTTTCCCCGCAAACACCACATGCACCCATCCAGCTACCCAAAGCACAGAAGTGAGGGCTGGAAATCTGGCTGCCAAGGAAAACGGGAAAGGGGACCTTACCTCACCCTCAAGATAACAGAGTGGTGAGCTCGAAGGAGTCTACTTCTCTAACGACTTGAAGGAGTTAACTGAAAAGGCCTGGGCTGTCTCCTTGAGACTTAATTTTCACATCTTAAACCACTGCTCTTCAGGTGTTAGGTACACAGAGCTGAGCCCAACACTAATGATACCACAGCTTGTATCCAAAGCAGGTATTCAGTAAAACCATCTGAACTAGATCTGTAATGCTGTGGGAATGTCAGACTAAAACTAGACTGTCCCTGTCATCTGACCACAATTCCTTTCTTTAATGACATACCTAATTCTTTTTCTTTTTCTTTTTTTTTTTTGTCACCCAGGCTATAGTGCAGTGGCTCGATCACAGCTCACTGCAACCTCAAACTCCTGGGCTCAAGGAATCCTCCTACCTCAGCCCCCTGAGTAGCTACAACTACAGGCGCACACCACCAAGCCAGTTAATTTTTAAATTTTTTTTTTTTTTACAGATGGGGGGTCTCACTATGTTGCCCAGGCTGGTCTCAAACTCCTGGCCTCAAACAATCCTCCTGCCTTGGCCTCCCAAAGTGCTGGAAAAGTATGTTTAAGTCACCACATCCAGCTGATAGTTCTAATTTTTTATACTGAAATCAGACTTACAGCAATGAAATAAATCCCAATAACCTTTATTTAGTCATTCATTCCAATCTCCTCAGCACCTTGGCCAGGGCTGCTGATGAAAGCTAATTGGGCCTCAAAGTATCAAATGGTCTCTCCCGCCTTACTCTGTTATCATTCCACAATCACAAAAAGACAGCCTATTCATGCTCCTTCCTTTAGCACAGTGATTTTACCTGTCTGCGTCACTAGGAACATGCCCACGTATCACAATCAAAGTTCCAGGATCCAGCTGATCAGGAATGGTGCCAACAAACGGGATTACCTAAGAAAAAAAATTTAACAAATGTACGTTTACATAAACAAAATTACTTACTAAGCAATTACAACCCACACTCATTATTGATAGAGAAAAACTACACTTTTTAAGGCTGCACATAAATCTGCTCAGAATCCAGCATTTTCCAAGTCATCTTTCCTATTCAAACAGCTAGAAAAAGGAACTGCGGCCGGGCGCGGTGGCTCACGCCTGTAATCCCAGCACTTTGGGAGGCCGAGGCGGGAGGATCACGAGGTCAGCAGATCGAGACCATCCTGGCTAACACGGTGAAACCCCGTCTCTACTAAAAATACAAAAATTAGCCGGGTGTGGTGGTGGGCGCCTGTAGTCCCAGCTACTCGGGAGGCTGAGGCAGGAGAATGGCACGAACCTGGGAGGCGGAGCTTGCAGTGAGCCGAGATCGCGCCACTATGCTCCAGCCTGGGCGACAGAGCAAGGCTCCGTCTCAAAAAAAAAAAAAGGAACTGCATACCTCATGGCCAGGATATCTGCAATAGCTGCAAACCACTATGAGTTCTTTGGAAAGAGACACAAGGTAAATACTATTCATAGTATTTTGTATTTGGCTGAGAGTTTGTGAAGCAAAACTTCTGCTTAATATGATAATTCTAACAGAAAAAAAAAAAAAGACTTGTTGCAATGCCATGTCTACTCATTCCTTTTCCTACTGTTCCACTGCTGATCCCAACAGAAGGTTCGAGGCCACACTAGGCCCAAAGCCAATGCTGACGGAGACAATGACAAGCACTCACTGCCTCTGAAGGAAACTCCACGTTAAGCCACGCCCCCACACCTGGGATTCCAGGGCCTGCTCTTCTCTGCTGGACTCCCAGACTGCAACCCAGACTGCACTGTTAGAAACCAGAGAACTGCATGATCATGAGGATGAGTGGGTGCCTGTGGGTCTTCAAGACATGGCATCCACCTGCCGTGGACCAGTCCAGTCTGCAGGCGTGGACTCTGACAGCTGGCTCCACCCAGTATTCAGGTCTCAACCTGCACCCTCACTGCCCAGAACCCAGCCCTTTTTTTCTGGGACCTGCCACACTGCCAGATCTTGTCATTCCCCTTCCCCAGAGATGACTACACTGTCTTCCCAGTCCACTGGCTGGGGACCTGTGCTATGTGGCTGCCTCTCCTGCATCACAACCATCTGCCTCCATCTAGAGCATCTGACCAGGATGTACAGCCCACACACCGTTAAGCCTCACACTAAGCTCACTCAAATTACGATGTGCATGGTAAAACCTACCCAAGGTACTTCTGATTGTCAAGAAATAAGAAATAAAATAAGACGGGCCACAGAAAAGTGGTTATAAATTGGTGGCTCCTAAACCGAAATCGCCTTGAGGCACAGCCTCCTCTGTGGAGCCTTCTTCAAGCTCCCTGGGCTGCTGAGTCAGCCCCTCTCAGAGGGTTCATGATAGCACTTTGGATTCTGTTTGTTTGCATGTAGCTTTGCCTAGACTGTGAGCTGCATGGGGCAGAACTGGCTCATCACCTTTACCTCCCCAGGACACAGGTCAAGAGACGATCGGTAACTGCATGGTGAATGAATGAACTCTCACCTGTCTGGAAAGTGGGCTCTGGCAGGCCTCACACATACAGAGGAGAGGCAACAAAGCAGCTGCTGAACCGCAAGCTGAGCCCACAAGCTCTCTGTTGCCTTAGGCAATAAGATGAGAAATTACGGAAGCCAATTATCTATTTGTTGTCATGGCAATTGCTAGGAGCAGGGTGGGAGGCACATGACACCAGAAAACAAAAAATACAACAGACAGTGTAGACTGGGGCTACAGCTGCACATCAGAGTATCTGATTTTGTGTGTAGAGAATGGGGAAGGACCTACATCCCTACATTGATCTTTTGGGTCACAGCTGGTTCCAAGAATATATAGCAGCAGGTTTCATAGCGTTAATCTCTTAATAAAATGAGAAGTTTTTATAACATCAAATTTCATCTTAAAATTATCTTTATGCAGAATATTTAATAACACAAGTTAGTAATATAAGTGAGAAAGTAATCTATAGAGCCATATATAGTATGATCTCAACTAAATAAATATAAACATTAAAAAGAAAACCTTGCTAATACACACTGTATCCTGTATCAAAATATGCCATATACCCCATAAATAGATATACCTACTACATACTCAAAAAAATTAAAAATTAAAAAAAGAAAAAGAGAAACACTAAAGAAATCAGACAAAAATGATAACAATAGTTTTCATGGGGGATGATGGGATTTTAATTTTTTTCTTCATATATTTTCATACTTTGCAGATGTCTATAATAAGCATCGATATTTCTATAGCCAGAAAAATATTTTTAATTATATGTTTCATTTTAGTGTTGGAAAGAGCTTTTTGAGACAAAACAATCTATTCCCATCACTTTTTTTTTTTTTTTTTTTTTTTTGAGACAGAGTCTCACTCTGTCCCCCAGGCTAGAGTGCAGTGGCGTGATCTCAGCTCACTGCAACCTCTGCCTCCCGGGTTCAAGCGATTCTCCTGCCTCAGCCATCCAAGTAGCTGGGACTACAGGCATGTGCCACCATGCCCAGCTAATTTTTTGTACTTTTAGAGAGATGGGGTTTTGCCATGTTGGCCGGGCTGGTCTGGAACTCCTGGGCTCAAAGTGATCCTCCCAAAGTACTGGGGTTGCTTTGGGAGGTAATGAGCTTTGGGAGAAGCTACCGCACCCGGCCCCCATCACTTCTAATACCTTGTTCACAACTGTTTATAGGTTGTTCCAGTTTGAGAAACAACTATGCTAAGAACGGTGGCCACTTGCTGCTTTAGTTTTCTGGGTTCATCATGCCTTCTACTTCAGAAAAGATCCTGCATTACTTCAGTAATACTTTTTTTTTTTTTTAACTATGAGACACAGTGCCCTGCCGCTGACTCATTTAACCCACGACTATGTGGCTTCTGTGAAAACGGAGGACATACATTGTTTTCTAGGCTACTCCAAGCTACTTTGGTGATTCACAGATCATTATTAATTTACATTTAAAAAATTAAAATACAGATCTGATCACACTGGAGACAATACCACAAGCTTACGCCACAGTCAGGTTTGCTGTTATTTCCCAAAACACCCTTGCTGATTCATATTGCTTTGCCTTTTTGATGATTAAATGCAAGGCTCTCTATTAGGCAGACTGCAGCTTGAAAGAAGCCTAAGAGTCAGACACCCAGGAAACATAACAGACACCCAGGAAACATGGAGTGAAAATGTGATACTCTATTTGGCTGCTGAAAATTGGTATCCCTTTCCATATCTGAAAATCCCCTAGCTTATGAACATTAGACCTCATCTAGACTGCAACAAGGTAAGAGCAGGTGACAAAACTGCCCATTAGAACTTCCAGCTCAGCTTTTAAGTAAGAACCAGTGACAAGAAGAAGCCACAATGACGCAGTATTCACTCTGGCAAGGGGGCAGCCGCTATATCTGGGTTTGGAGAAAGCTACATCTGGGGTCAAAGGCAGCTACATCCGGGGTCAGGGGCAGCTATATCGAGGGTCAGAGGGAGCTGCATCCAGGGTCAGAGGGAGCTACATCTGGGGTCAGAGACAGCAGTGGCATTGGTAGAGTAGCAGAGACACAGTACCATCTGTGTCCAGTGGTGACAACAGATGCCTCTTCATGGGAACCGTCCTACAGTATGCTTGTGTATCTGTGGCTACCTATTCTCCAAGCCTGGTTCTTCATCCTGCTAGAGATTCTGAGAACTCTGCACTATCATTTAGCAAATTCCTTTTCTGCTTAAAGAGTTGGCTTCTGTTGCTTGTAACTACAAACCCTGACCAATTCAACATCTTTAAAAAAAAAAAAAATGGGGGTCAGGCGCAGTGGCTAACACCTGTAATCCCAGCATTTTGGGAGGCGAAGGTGGGCAGATCACTTGAGGTTGGGAGTTGAAGACCAGCCTGACCAACGTGGAGAAACCCCATCTCTACTAAAAATACAAAATTAGCCGGGCATGGTGGCACATGACTGTAATCCCAGCTACTCAGGAGGCTGAGGCAGGAGAATCACTTGAACCCAGGAGGCGGAGGTTGCAATGAGCCGAGATCGGGCCATTGCACTCCAGCCTGGGCAACAAGCAAAATTCAGTCTCAAAGAAAAAAAAAAGGGTGGGGGAGCAGTAAAGAAGAGTCAAAGAAATGCTTCAGGAAAATGGGATAAGGAATTCTAACTGAGGTAGCCAAAGACAGTTTATGAAGAAGATATGATTTCAGTTGCCACTTCAGGTAGAAATGGCAGTTTACAAAAGCAGAGAGGCAGGAAAAGACAAGACCCATCTTCTCTCAGCACGCAGTCAGGGAGTAGTTAAAGAAAGGTACAGCCAGGGTCAGATTTTAGAGTGACATACGAAAGAAGTGTTTAGGAACAACAGTCCAGTGGGGGTGAAATAAGCCAGAGGTCAGGAGGTCATCTGGGTGACTGACTGCTGCCATAAGCCTGGCGTGAAACGATAAGGACACATTCCAGGTCAGTGGCAATGGCCCTGGAAGAGCAGAGAAGTCCAAGAGATGTTTCAAAGGAAACTGTCTACATAAGGCCACTAAATACATGACAAAGCTGGGGAGAAAACAGGTTTTTTGTTTTTTGTTTTTTGTTTTTCTTGAGATGGAGTTTCACTTTTGTTGCCCAGGCTGGAGTGCAATGGCGTGATCTCGGCTTACTGCAATCTCCGCCTCCCGGGTTCAAGCGATTCTCCTGCCTCAGCCTCCTGAATAGCTGGGATTACAGGTGCCTGCCACCACGCCTGGCTAATTTTTTTGTATTTTTCGTAGAGATGGGGTTTTACCAAGTTGGCCAGGCTGGTCTCGAACTCCTGACCTCAGGTGATCCACCCACCTCGGCCTCCCAAAGTACTGGGATTACAGGTGTGAGCCACCGCGCCTGGCCTGGGAGACAGGTTTCAGGAGGAAGATGACGAGTTTAGTTTGTAATACTTGGTGTGAAGCGTTGGCAGAGCATCTGAGAGCAAATCTGCTAAGACTTGGAGACTCAGAACCACACGCTAGGTGAATGGCCAGAGCACACATTTAAAAGTCAGGGTAAAGATCATTTGTAAAGATATCAAAGTAGATAAAGAAATCGAAAAGCAGGACAGGTCAGGCAGCAAAGGCTCGGTGGTTTCTAAAATTAGGAGGTATGCAGAAAAGAATTAACATTGGCAGGCCTGACTGCTGTCCTGGAAAGGCCTCCTTACGAGGCAGGCCCCTGGCTGGTGTCTGGGAACTTGGGATTTGGGAAGGGCACCCACCAACCTAACTGGTAACGGGGATTTCCTGTACCTGAACTGTTCATGCAAATAATATGGTTATGCTAAACACCTGCTTTCCTTCTGGGGGACCAGAATTTTTTGATATGTGTGAGGGTGCTTATGTGACCAGCCTCCAGTAAAAACCCTAGGCACTGAGGCTCTGATGAGCTTCCCTGGCAGTCCACATTTCACAAGTGTTGTCACAACTCCTTGCTGGAGGATGTAAGCACATCCTATGTGACTCCACTGGGAGGCGACCTTGGAACTTGCACTGGATTTCCCCTGGAATTCACCCCAGGTGCCTTTCCGTTTGCAATTTTGCTCTATATCCTTTCACCGCAATAAATCATAGGCACAAGTACAACTCTATGCTGGTGAGTCATCAAAACTGGGTGTGACCTTGGGGACCTCAACATGGGGTGAGAAGAGAAAGGAGAGAGAAGAATCAGTCAGGCCAGGGCAATAATATCAAGGGAGTCAATGGATTTATAAATTTCAGTAAGAGGAAAACTGTCAATATCTTTAACATTGAAGAAGCTAAGAAGGATCCAAGCAAATAAAGATAATAAAATGGGGCCGGGCGCGGTGGCTCACACCTGTAATCCCAGCACTTTGGGAGGCTGAGATGGGTGGATCACAAGGTCAGGAGATCGAGACCATCCTGGCTAACATGGTGAAACCCCGTCTCTACTAAAAATACAAAAAAATTAGCCAGGCGTGGGTGGCGGGCGCCTGTAGTCCCAGCTACTCCGGAGGCTGAGGCAGGAGAATGGTGTGAACCCGGGAGGCGGAGCTTGCAGTAAGCCAAGATCATGCCACTGCACTCCAGCCTGGGCGACAGAGCAAGACTCTGTCTCAAAAATAAATGAATAAATAAATAAAATAAATAAGTAAAGAAAATGGATCATACCCTCTGACCTAGTGATTCCACTTTTACAGATTTATCCTACAGAAATACGTAGCACAGGCACACCAAGATGCACACACAAGGATGTACACTATAGCACCGGATATAATCGCAAAAAGACACAGCCCTTCACAAGGGACTGCTTACATAAGTTTTACTGCTAATTATGCAGCTGTTAAAATAAATGAGGAAGTTCTAAATAAAATGACATTTCCAAAATAGGTCAAATAGAAAAAGCAGGGTAGAAAACAGTTTATACGGTAAAATGCATGCACGTAAAGAGACAGGATATATAAAAGGTGATATACACAACACACACACTTTTGGATATTCATAAGTATCTCAGGAAGGATATATTTCTAAAAACCAGTAAAAAGTGATTGCCCTTGGGGAGTAAAACTAAGTACCAGGGTAGAAGGAAAATGCATGTTTCACTGAAACTCTTAAATACTGTTTGAATTTTAAAAAAATGATTTGCACATATTATCTTTAAATTTTTTTAAAAGGAAAAGCCACTGGTTTGGACATAAATGTAGTTTAAAATTTTGAAGACAGACTATCTTCCAACTATTGGGTGCTAGGAAACAAGGGAGGAGGCAAAAGTTAAACAGCAGAAGGATCCTGCTGCAGAAAACTGCAAGAGGAAAGCTGGTTTGGGAAGGAAGATGCAAGTTTGGTTTTGAACTCCTAGTCTTGAAGGGCTGGCTGAGCAACTGAGAGTTGGGGGTTCACATTAGGTGAAAGGTTGGAACTGGATACATATGGAAAAAAAAATCTATGAGTGATCGGTAAAGACATAAAAGAAAGAGACATTAAAGACAAAATTTCACTAGTAAAACCAAAAAAGAAAAGAGAGTGAAAAATCAGAGGGCAGAGCCTTAGTGAGGAAATCCACTCTCAGTCAGGAAGGCAGGCAGCAAAAAGAGAAGAAAAACAGCACAAAGGCTAGAAGGTATCTCACAGGTTACAAAAGAAAGACTTGACTGTGTTGTGTTTTAAGACTAAATTGTAAGGTAAAAAAGGAGTACTTAGAATACTAAGCAGAAAAGGATAAACATGGAAGCAAGGTTCCTAAGAAAACTGGGTACCAGGTAGGATTTATGTTGACAAGCAACTTATTAACTTGGAGTAACAACCAATTCTGTTTCATTTCTAAATGATTTCTTAACCAGCTAGCATTTAATCATATCTTAAGAACTCTATAAACAATAGCAAAATTAAATATATAGGTAGATAATGAACTGCCAAACAAGAAATTTCACTGGCAGCATTCCTGGTATGAAGTAAAGATACTGTCTTCCAAATTATTCATTCAAATTCAATAGAAAGAAAAGTAAGTGGCCAGCCACGGTGGTTCACGCCTATAATCCTAGCACTTTGGGAGGCCGAGGCGGGCGGATTGCCTGAGCTCAGGAGTTCGAGACCAGGCTGGCCAACATGGTGAAACCCCGTCTCTACTAAAATACAAAAGAACAATTAGCGGGGCGTGGCGGTGTGCGCCTGTAGTCCCAGCTACTCGGGAGGCTGAGGCAGGAGAATTGCTAGAACCCAGGAGGCAAAGGTGGCAGTGAGCCGAGATTGCACCACTGCACTCCAGCATGGGCAATAGAGCAAGCCTCCATCTCTTAAAAAAAAAAAAAAAAAGAGAAGAAAGAAAAAAAAAAAAAAACAGAAAAGGAAGCCTAACTTTTTTTTTCTTTTTTTTTTTTTGAGATGAAGTATCACTCTGTCGCCCAGGATGCAGTGCAGTTGTGCAATCTTGGCTCATTACAACCTCCACCTCCCGGGTTCAAGTGATTCTCCTGCCTCAACCTCCCATGTAGCTGGGATTACAGGCCACCGCCACCATGCCCGGCTAATTTTTGTATTTTTAGTAGAGACGGGGTTTCACTGTGTTAGTCAGGCTGGTCTCGAACTCCTGACCTCAAGTGATCCTCTCGCCTCGGCTTCCCAAAGTGCTGGGATTACAGGCATGAGCCGCAGCACCCGGACTCTGACTTTTTATTTTTATTTTTGAACATGGTTCTTGCTCTGTCACCCAGAATGAAGCACAGTGTCAAACTCACAGCTCACTGCAGCCTCAACCTCCTGGGCTCAAGCAATCCTCCCACCTCACTCTTCCTCATAGCTGGGACTACAGACATGCGCCACAATCCCCAGTTAATTTTTGTATTTTTATAGAGAGACAAGGTCTCACTATGTTGCTCAAGCTGGTCTTGAACTCCTGGGCTCAAGTGATCCACTAGCCTTGGCCTCCCACAGTGCTGGAATTACAGGCATGAGCCTCTGGACCCAGCCTTAGAGCCTGACTTTTTTAAGTCTTGGAATTCTATCAGTTGAACTAGTCAAAGAAATATACTAAATAGGGAAAAAAATACATAGGCCAGTTGCAATATTTACTTCATCTTTTCCAAGAAAACTTAATGTGGACAGTTGGTCTAACACCAATGTGGACCAAAATATTAGAAATAGGCCAGGCATGGTGGCTCATGCCTGTAATCCCAACACTTTGGGAGGCCGAGGCGGGAGGAGTGCTTGACCAGACTGAGAAACATGGCAAAACTCTGTCTTTACCAAAAAAAATACAAAAATTAGCCAGGCATGGTGGTGCATGCCTGTAGTCCCAGCTATTTACAAGGCTGAGCCCAGGAGGTGGAGGTTGCAGTGGGGTAAGACTGCACCACTCCACTCCAGCCTGGATGACAGAGCGAGCCTCTGTCTTAAAAAAAAAAAAAAAAAAAAAAATTGGAAACATTAATGAAATAAAAATTAAAAAGTGGCGGTGTGTTTATAATGCCTAATAAAGAATACAACAGACAATAAATATATTTACTTATTGAACCTATCAGTAACAAAACAACCATGATTCAAGAAAACAGGTTTTGTGTGTGGGGGGGTTTTTTTTTTTTTGAGATGGAGTCTCGCTCTGTCACCCAGGCTGGAGTGCAGTGGCACCATCTCGGCTCACTGCAACCTCCGCCTCCCAGGTTCAAGTGATTCTCTTGCCTCAGCCTCCCGAGTAGCTGGGATTACAGGAGGCTGCCATCACGCCTGGCTAATTTTTGTATTTTTAAGTAGAGACGGAGTTTCGCCATCTTGGCCAGGCTGGTCTTGAACTCCTGACCTCGTGATCCACCTGCCTCGGCCTCCCAAAGTGCTGGGATTACAGGTGTGAGCCACCATGCCCAGCTGAAAACCGTTTTCCTAAGTCTAGCTTATAAAATATACTAATTGATTATCTTTAAATAACTAAGTTGGCCAGGCATGGTGCCTCACGCCTGTAATCCCAGCACTTTTGGAGGTCAAGGTGGGCACATCACCTGAGGTCAGGAGTTTGAGACTAGGCTGGCCAACACTGTGAAACCCCATATCTACTAAAAACACAAAAATTAGCCGGGCATGGTAGCACGTGCCTGCAGTCCCAGCTACTCAGGAGGCTGAGGCACTAGAATTGCTTGAACCCGGGAGGCAGAAATTGCAGTAAGCCGAGATTGCATCATTTCACTCCAGCCTGGGTGACCAGAGGGAAACTATATCTCAAAAAATTAAAAAAAAAAAATTAATTGAATAAATAAAATAAGTTATTTACAGCCTTTTTTTTTGGAACATTGAAAGGGCAACTAGCTACAAATGAGAGAAATTCAGTGCAATACAGGCCCTTTATACTATAAATATTTTACAGCAGTGAAACGTAAAGAGAGCGCAAAATGTTTTTGCCATTCAGTTCAGTCTACCTCTAACCTTTCCGACTCTTTTGTGAGAACTGATAATAAAACAGAGAATTTTGAAAAGAAAGAAAAAAAAGCTATTTGCCAAAAATATCTCCCTTGGAAATGCATTATCCTCAGAACAGCATCCAGCCCATGCCACAAGACTGAAGGCATTTTCTGCTCTAGCGCAGAACTACTTCTCCAGATCCCCTTCCTCAAGAAATGAAGTCTACTTATTTTTGTTCCACCTCAATAGTTGAGAGTACTGACCCCAGAAACTACAGGAATCAGCAGTATGCTAGAATCAAGATATGCACGAATTTTACCTATAAAATTATCTTCTTTTCTGTGTGAAGGGCAGAAATGAACAGTGTAACCTTTATCCATTCTCCCAGCTTGAGCCAAGATGATACTTCAGACACCCGTGGCAGGCAGCCTAGTTTGTTGTTGTTGTTGTTGTTAAGATCTTTGCAGGAAATCAGTTTACAACCTTGGGATGTTTTTAACTCTAACATGCGCAAAGTCATCTTAAATGTCTCACAAGCTTCCGCTTCAGGAAGTCATCTTTTTTAAACTTACTACCACTGAAAGGCTATTTCTCCTAAAACTGACTTTGCTTGATACAGCAGCGATACCTCATTCTTACACAATGACATTAAAACTTAGGGAAAAAGGAAATACAGCTATAAAGTAAATGACAAAAACTTGAACCCACACACACTAACAAAACTGGTTTAGGGCCTCATTTTAAGGATTCTCACCCTTCCTTTTGCCCAAGAATCTTCTAGGCGGTTTACTAAAAAAGTGGCTGTCCTTTTTCAGACCTCGATTCAGGATTCAGCTTCAGATACGTGGAAACTAGACATTCCTAAAGATTCTCACCACCACATAAAACTAAAACAAGCTCTTTACTGCTCAGGATTACAGGGCAATTTCCAGCAATTACAGTCATTCAGGGATTCTAGGACCTGCCTGAACTGCACGAGACCCTTACTACTTCACACTCTCCATCTCCCCATTGGCTTTTGACATTTTCCCTGCTCAAGGGCCAAGCAGTATTTGAAAGGCTGAGGGAAAGATCGAGACATTAACTTCTCATGGACAGCTCTAATTAAAAAAGAAAATGAAAAACTTGTAGAGTAAGAAATCCATTTTCCTTTAAAAACTACAATTTATGATTAGCTGAGCCTCCTCCCATCACCAAAAGTTGGCATTCCCTCCACTCTACCCAGACGTTCCCTGTTCATAACACTGTTTCATCACGTCATATTATCATTGTGACTTCTTCCTCCACTAGAGGACAAGAGCTGTTTTGTAATCAGCACCCACCACCATCTCTATTACATAGTAGGTGCTTTAAATATGTTCACTGGCTTTTATTCTTGCCCTGTCTCCCAATGGATAATTAATATTCTATTGGATCTGTCCTGGCATAGGTAAAAAGTTATCTTATAGAAATCAGTTACCGGGTTATAGATGATATTCTGTAGGTTGTTTAAGGACAACATCATTCTTTTCCAGCTTCTTGTCGATTGGAGTCTCTTCTGTGTATGACCTAAGATTTTAGGCAAGTTTCATTTAAAGGTTACCTGGATTGAAACTGAGGCACTGGCCCTGTGTAAAGTAAAAATAGAGGAAAAGAAAAGTAAGCATGTAGCATTTTTCTTCATATCCTATTTTAAAATTTAAATTATATATTATGTTACTGATATTTACCAAATAATAGAATATTATTACAATCAACGATCTGCCTCCCATTCTTACCAGTGTGCTCATATACTAAATAATTTTGGATTGTGAGTGTAGGAAATATTGACTTAAAAAATACATCAGTAGAAAATTTCTAACATGGAATTTATTATTAAAAATACTAAAATAGGCCAGGCATGGTGGCTCACACCTGTAATCCCAGCACTTTGGGAGGCCAAGGCGGGTGGATCACCTGAGGTTCAGGAGTTAGAGACCAGCCTGACCAATATGGTGAAATCCCATCCCTACTAAAAATACAAAAATTAGCCAGACGTAGTGGCATGCACCTGTAGTCCCAGCTACTCAGGAGGCTGAGACAGGAGAATTGCTTGAACCTGGGAGACGGAGGTTGAAGTGAGCCGAGATTGTGCCACTGCACTCCAGCCTGGGCAACAGAACGAGACTCCATCTCAAAAAAAAAAAAAAATTTAATTAATTAATGGTAAATACTAATCAAACAGTCCCGTACAATTACCAGAGGTATTCATTTAGATTTTCATTTCCATAAAATGAGAATTACAGTATTCACATCATTGGTTTGTTCTGAGGATTGAGTTAATAAAACAGCGAAAGAGTAAGCGCTATGTTAGCTATTATTATTGTGAATAGAAAGAATTGCTCTTCCTCCTCCAATTTAAACAAATCAAAGTAGGGAAAAATCCAATACTTTTAATACTATTAAGATACGGTTTTCTCTGTTGCTTAAAAAAATAATAATCACAGGGCAGGGGAGTGTTGGAAAGCATCAGCCACATTTTTTAAGATAAAAGCACTCATGGACACTACACTACATTTAATAGCTCCAGGAAAAACTCGACTTTAAGCAGAACTAAAGGGGAAATGAAACCAGAGCTTCCTGTATTTTACTTCCAGCAATTCTGTCATTATACTGCACACCAACAATACACACCGATCAAATCTATCACTTTTTCTTTATTAAGAAAAAAAACTGTATCCCTCTTGGTTTACCACCTAAATATAGCCCCATGTCATTAACTTAATTCGTTAGTCAAAACCTCAAAACTCTGGCTCCGTGACTCAATTCAGGAAGTAAGAACAAGAGCAAAAAGAATGGATGCCGAGTTGCCATACACATGTATAATAACAAGCCAGTGACCCAATTTAAGCCATCTGCTTGCATTAAATCACGCAACCCCCGAAGTATCCCCAGGGACAGGTCCCGCCAGCATGAACACTTCGTATGCATCACAAGCAGCCATCACTTAAGTTTCACGTACGGTCAAAGGAAGTCACATGACTTGCGCTTTGCAATGTTTAACACTGCAGTCAAATGACTCGGCATCCTAAAGAGCGTGTTAGAGGCAGGGAACGCAATGGAGGTCACTCCACTGTCACTACAAATTCCGGGAAGGAAACTTCCCCAGATTCCTCCACTTGGAGGTGGCGCTCGGCCTCAGGCTAGGAGGGAACAGGTGAGAAAGCAGCCCAGGTGGGGTGGGTTTGCAGCGAGGAGACACCCCAGGGCAAACAGCCTGACCCCAGCCAGGGATGTCCAAGAAAGGCCGCGACTCCTGATAATCCCTTATGCCCCGGAGCGCCTCGCCTGCAGAGGCAGCGTCCCCGCCACCCAGCCCCGGCTCTGCCGCGGTGAGGACCGGCGGGTCGGGGTGGACTGGACACTGTCCCACCCATCAAATGGTGATTTAGGAGCCGTGACATCCGAATGCCATCCTCCACTGGCGAGACCCTCAGAGCAGCCACGCCTCTAGCGACTGCCCCGCCACCCGAGGCCGGGGGTCGCGCGACTCACCCAAAGACTGGTGTTTCAGGCGCTCCACGGAGCAGGTTGTTTGTCAGCAGCTAAGTGCCGTCAGGGTTCCCGGCTCTGGCGTCCGTGGGCGGCTACGGGAAGCGACAGGAGTCAGTCCTCGTTCACTTCCCGGCTCGCGCGCCTCACTGCTGTGGTCTCCCCACCCTCCCCGCGCCCCGCCTTCTGTGTCTGGGGCGTCCCTGGCGGCTCTGCTGGGTTTTGGACAGGGACCCGCCGCTGATCGCCACCCAGCTCGGCCTCCTGCACAGCCTCTGGAGCCTTGGACCGCGACTGGCTTGCTGTGGGACGAGCACAGAGGGATAAGGACAAAGAATGTGTCCTGGGTGGATCTGGCTGCCTTTGCCCGGAAGGCGGAGTGGGGTGGGAGGTGGTAGGAAAATGGGAAGGAAAGAAAAGAAAGGTGGGCCGACGTCCACCTGGCTGTTCCAGGCCTCCAGGTCTAGGAGGGAGGGCGCTCGGGGCTGGGACTTTTCAGGACCAGGGTGGTCACCGCACAGGCCCCGCCTGCCTGGACCAAGCGCTGGCCTTCCCGGGGCGCCCAGGTCCACGGGGTCAACGCCAGGGTTTTCTCAGCTTCCTCGTCTGCCTCGGATCCAAGTCCAGACAGTGCCAGAAGAGACTTGGAGGCGCTGCTTTTTGACAGTACACACCTCTGTATGCAGGTGAAACGGTGGGGGAAGGGTTCAGTACGCTGGACTGTGCCCAGCCCAAGCTCCCCATCCGTTAGTGATAACTTGGACTCGCAGCCACTCCGCGTCACTCGCCAGTTATCCTGCGTGTGGGTGTTTTCTCCAAATTGGACACTTAGGGAACAGTTTAAGCAGTATGGAGCACAATTCTGTGCCTATTAGATGCTCTTAAATACCCGACTTCTCAGGGCCCTACACTGACTGATAGTTTGACCTATTGGCTGTAAACACACCAGCCAGAAATACAAATAAAGTTAAACAAAGTCATGTCAGCCACTTGGAATGGCTGGCTGCTTACTGTTTATTTTCTGTTAGGGACCTCAAAGTTCTCATCTTCTCTACTTGGCTTTTATCCACATTTGTTTGGAAAGATATATTTTAGTGTCATTAACGTGGGCTTTCTCCTCCCTGGCTTTTGTTTTCATTATTTTTTGTTTTAATTGAGGAATTCATTACAAGTCCCATAACTGGGAACTCATGTTCTGATTCACTGTTGCTTTTCTCTCCTCCTTACCCATTTTCCAAGCCTGATGCACTTCTCAAGATCCAATCTGAATAGGTGAATTTACCCTTGACATACACTGCCTTGGATTTATAGCTGTCTTTTGGTATGTGTTGTGTGTTTTATCTATCCAACTCGACTGTAGTTTGAGAAAAGGAACTTGTCTTATACAGTCTCCAGTGCATAGTGTAATGCTTTGCATAAAATAGATATCAATGTTAGGTTGAAATGTTAGATTATTGATAAAGTCAGGAGCAATTGAATATCTTCACAATTCTGCCTGAGTCTCCCCCCAGCCCCGCCACTTTGAGACAGGGTTTCCCTCAAGTGATCCTCCCACCTCAGCCCCAGGAGTAGCTGGGACTATAGACGCACACCACTATGCCCAGCTAATTTAAAAATTTTTTTTTGTAGAGACAGGGTCCACTGTGTTGCCCAGGCTGGTCTCAAACTCCTGGGCTCACAATATCTTCCTGCCTTGGCCTCCCACAATGCTGAAATTACAGGCATGAGACACCAAGCTGGGCCCTGAGTCAACCTTGTACTTCTTTACAAAGCTAAAATAAGTTGAAATAAGTACACATAAATGCTGTGTTTCTTTTGTAAGTCATATTTAGGTGCAAACGGGGCTGAGTGAAAGGGCCAGAGAGCAGAGTTAACAAAGAAAATCTGGATTAAAATGTTCATAAATCCTAAGAACTTATTCCTAGAAATATCTCCCTCATTTGGCACTGTTGTTCAATTAGCCCAGTGTGTTATTTTAAATAAGCAAATATTCACTGAATGCCTATCATGGCCAGGCACAGCAGTAAAGAATACTAGCATGCAAAGGACCTCATGGGCCCTTCTAGATAGAGTCCCACATCTCTTACATTATTACTGCAGTATCCTAATCGGTCTCCCTATATTTGCCCTTGCCCCTCTGCAATGTAGTCTCAACACAACAGCCAGAGAAGTCATGACAAAACATAATTCAGATCATGTTAATCCCTTACTAAAACCTACTTTTTTTTTTTTTTGAGGCAGTCTCACTCTGTTGCCCAGGTTGGAGTGGAGTACAGTGTTACATTCTCAGCTCACTGCAGCCTCTGCCTACCGTGTTCAAGTGATTCATGTGCCTCAGCCTCCTGAGTAGCTGGGACTACAGGTGCGCGCCACCATGCCCAGCTAAGTTTTGTATTTTTAGTAGAGATGAGGTTTCACCATGTTGCCCAGGCTAGTCTTGAACTCCTGACCTCAAGTGATCCGCCCGCCTCGGCCTCCTGTAACCTGGGATTGCAGGTGTGAGCCACTGCATCCGGCCAACCGTCTACTAATTTTTGCTCATTCTTTGAGTAAAGATCCAGTTCTTACACGAGCACTTCCTGATCTGCCCGAATCCTCACACACTGTGATTTCATCTCCTACTACTTTCCTTCTCACTTTTTCTGCAGCAGCCACAGCGACTTTGCTATTCTCCTAGCAGGCCTGTCACACTCCCATCCTAAAATCTTTACTCAATATTTCCTTTTCCCTTTTCAAGTCTACTCAAATGTCAGTTCTCAGTGGGGCCCTTCCTGACCACCAATATTTAAAATTGCAAACACTCTCCCAAAACACACTCATACACACTCCCTAGCAACTCTTCCTTGCTTTATTTCTGGCTAACATTTGTCATGCTAATATACTATATAAGGTGCCTTTTTATTTTATGTTACTTCACCCATCATAAGACTATAAACTCCATGAGGGCAAGGAGTTTTGATTGTTCTTGTTTCGAGGAAGCTTATACTCTAGTTGAGGACACATACAGTGATGTGTTTTAGAGAAGATTAAATTGGGAGCACCTGAGTGGCAACCTTAGTTGGGTGACAAGGAAAGTCTCTCAGAGGAGTCAAAGTTTAAGCTGCTGGTGAGTGAAAGAAAGGAAACAGCCATATGAAGATGGTGGGGAAGAGCATTCCAGCCTTAGCGAGCAGCTGCTGCAAAGTCCCTGAGGGTCTTGAGAATGCATTAAATGTGTTCAGGAAACAAAGGCCACCAACCAGTATGGCTGAAGCATGAGGGAAGAATGATATGACATCATGAGATTGGATGGCACCACCTAGGAGAGTAGTGGGAGAAAATCACCTCGGACAGCCCTGGGGAGATAAGACAACGCCAATAAATGAGACTGAGAAGGGACAACCAGGGGAATTTGCTGAGAGTGGTGTCACAGATGCCAAAGAAAGAGAAACAGCCTGTGTGCCAAGTGTGCTGAGAGGCCAAGGAGGACGGAAGTAAGCAATGGGCTTAGGAACATGGATGTCATTGCTGACTCTGACTCTGAAGTGTGTTGAGAAATGGGAGGTGAAGAACTGGTGGAAACCATGACTATAAAGATTTCAGAAAGGTTTGCTGTGAGGAGGAATGGAGAAGCAGCATTATAGCTGAGGAAGGAGTGGAGCAAAGGGCAGATTCAGGTTTTCTCCTGTTGTTTTTTTTTTTTTTTTAAAGAGAAGATACTACATTGGTGACTTTTAGACTTCTTTTTTTTCAAGTGACCTGCCATAAGAATTACATTTCCATTGAGACTTACTACACACATACTTAAAATTACGAAAACAAAAATTTTGACCAGGCACGTTGGCTCACTCCTGTAATCCCAGCACTTTGGGAAGCCGAGGCAGGTGGATCACTTGAGGTCAGGAGTTTGAGACCAGCCTGGCCAATATGGTGAAACCCTGTTTCTACTAAAAATACAATAATTAGCTGGGCCTTGTGGCGCATGCCTGTAATTTCAGCTACTCGGGAGGCTGAGGCATGAGAATCGCTTGAACCCAGAAGGCCGAGGTTGCAGTGAGCTGAGATTGTACCACTGTACTCCAGCCTGGGCAACAGAGTGAAACTGTGTCTAAAAAAAAAAAAAAAAAAAAAAAAAAATTGTACAAAACAATACTCCTGTTATGTGTAAAACAATCTACTTTTTCATTTTAAAAAAATGCTGCTTATAGTCCACTAAAATGTTTGCAAGCCCCACTAATGGGCTGTGAGCTGAAGTTTGAAGAACACTGGGTAGTATGTTGGTGTTAGCTCATACTGGCTTGTGACAGCCATTTTTGTACATAACTTCCATGTTGATACCTTGAAGTTATCCAGGGCAACTGCTAGAACTTAGGAACTTTTTCCCCCAAAGAACAAGATCTTAAACATTTACCAGCACGCTACTGACTTTACTCATGTGAATGATCCGTGGAGAGGAGAAACTGATCATGCAGGAGAGGGGATGGTGTTCCCAATAAAAGTTGCGAAAACCAGTTTCAGAACAATAGATATTGCCAATTATTTGCCACAACTGCCTGAGAGTTATGCAGATAAAAGGATCACTTCTGGTAGGATCAATTTCTTTTTCATCTATATTGTCCTCTTTCCTTGCCCAAGAAGCCACATTTATATGGTATAATATAGCCACACATTTAGAAATAGTCTTTTTTTTTTTTTGAGACAGAGTCTCACTCTATTACCCAGGCTGGAGTGTTGTGGTACAATAATGGCTCACTGCAGCAGTGACCTCCTGGGCTCAAGTGATCCTCCCACCTCAGCCTCCCAAGTAGCTGGGACTACAAGTGCACACCACCATGCCTGACTAATTTTTTTTTTTTTTTGGTAGTGATGGGGTCCCACTGTGTTGCCCAGGCTGGTCTTGAACTCCTGGGCTCAAGCAGTCCTCCTGCCTCAACCTCCTGAAGTGCTAGGATTACAGGCATGAGCCACCATACCCAGGCAAAATTAAGTCTTACAAGCAAAATGTTAAATTATATATATAGAGCCCACATTTTTTAAAAAACTAGTAAAAAAATCATGATTTTAGACATGAATTGTAAGCTCTTGCTACTTAGCAGGGTTAACTGATTAAACAGAAATAGATGCCATATTCTATCGATGTGAACCGTATTGTTTCAAGCTAAGGAATACTCTGGCAGTGATTTTGCTTATTGTTTTGTTGCTGTGTCACTTTTGTTAACATGATTGTAAAATTTTTGGACCCCCTCTCCAACCATCCATGAAATAGCGGTGCTAAGTGCTGGGAAAATGTGCTCCAACTCAATAATTTTGGAATACAAGTTAGATATGATAAAAGAGTATCAAGAACTTTAAAGAACTGCCTTGGTATGCTGTGAATTTAGAAACCAGAACTCCGTCACAGAACCTGTGACAATAATGATAAAAAAAAATATGTGAAAGCAAAAATTTGCCACAATGGATTATACATTTGTGAGCGCCGAGAACACATACCCTGCTATTCTCATGAGAAAATTAATCAAAATATGTAGGTTTTAAATTATGCAACATCTTCAGGAATGCATTCTTTACAAAACCACAATACTCACATCCTTATACATACATCTGCTTCCCCAGGAAGTGTCATGGACGGTGTCTTCTACCTCTTCCGATTATCTTCCCCAATCTAAAGGAATTCATTTCTCCTTTGAATCCTCTTGCTTTGACCTAATCTCCCCTACACCCCAATACTAGCCCCATCCATGAGCACCAAACTCTTTTTTTTCACCCTCCAGACCCCCTATGATCTGATTCACCAGGCTTACCTCCGAAGTTCTACAGGATCATGTCCCAAATCCAGTCTTTTCAGGTGGGAGAAACAAGCTTCTAGAACTATGGTTTTGTCATAAAATAAAAGAATCTTAGTGACGAGAGGGATCTTAGGAGGAGTATAAATTAATTCATCTCAATAGCTCAAAGGATGAGATAGCCTATTTTGTGAAATACATTTTTTGAATGGCTTACAGACTATGATGTTAGTACTAAAAAATGCTGAATTATTTGATATGAGGAAAATGTATCTGAAATTATGTAAAATGTAAAGACAAAATGATACTAAAAATGTATAAATAGTATACATGGGCCGGGCGCGGTGGCTTATGCCTGTAATCCCAGCACTTTGGGAGGCCGAGGCAGATGGATCACGAGGTCAGGAGTTCGAGACCAGCCTGGACAACATAGTGAAACCCTGTCTCTACTAAAAATACAAAAATTAGCCAGGAGCGGTGGCAGGCGCCTGTAGTCCCAGCTACTTTGGAGGCTGAGACAGGAGAATCGCTTGAACCTGGGAGGCGGAGATTGCAGTGAGCTGAGACTGCGCCACTGCCCTCCAGCCTAGGTGACAGAGCAAGCTCTGTAAAAAAAAAAAAAAAAAAAAAAAAAAAAAAACAGTAAAAAAAGTGCATATGTATATGCTGTATATATCCAGTAACAGTCAGACAGTAATTTACATACACATATTTAGCAAAGTGCAAAAGAATGATGTTTAATGTAGTGTTCATTGTTATCTTTTCTCTTGCAAAATTACTGAGATTCATTAAAAGGCTTCCCTCAGCAAGGCAGTCTCAATATTTAACCAACCCTTCCAGCGCATAGCTGATCTCTTCCAGCTTGTGTTTACACAGTTCATTGTAAAGCAACAAGTAAAACCTCAGGAATTTCTATGGCACGTTAGAGCAAGCAAAAAAATTGAGGTGATTTTTTTAAATTAAAAAAAAGCTGTTGAATCCAACCAAGTACTCTTCCAAAAATATTTTATCTGGGAGTATTTTAAAACATACACAAGAGGACCTCCTCTTTCGGCTTTGGAGCCCCCTCCCTCTGTCTCTGTACGGGGGAGCGTCTTCCTTCAGCCTTCTCTTTTCTTTCTTGCCTATTAGACTCTCTGCTCCTTAAAACCAAAACCAAAAACAAACAAAAAAACACACAAAAGTAGAGAGATGGTGTGATAAATACCTGTGCTTTCATCGCCCAGCTCCAGCAATTATCGACGTGGCCAATCTTGTTTCACCTACACCTCACCCACTTCCTCCCCACCACTGGTTCATTTTGAAGCAAATCTCAGACTTCATTTAATCTGTAAAAGCTTCAAAACTAATTGTTAGATTTAAAGGTTTAATAAGGTCCGGCTGGGCTTAATTTTTTGGCCAGAAGACTTTACAGGTGATATGTAGCTCCAATTGCAACTCATCAGGAGACAGAAAATATCTGGTTGTTTTTCTTTTTATGACATCAAAACCAGTTAGTGGTTTCAGATGTTGTTAGCCTGATCCATCTGTTACGAAGTTCCCATCAGTGTTTGATCAGATGATTTTAGCATCTAGCTATTGATGGTCATTGCCTAGATACGTTATTTCATTAGGAATTGAAAATGGTGATATTTCAATTCTATCATTTCTCCTGCATTTATTAGTAAGAATTCTTTTTCTCCTTTCTCTTTCTTTTTCTTTCTTTTTTCTTTCTTTCTTTCCTTCTTTCTTTCTTTTTCTCTTTCTTTCTCTTTCCTTTCTCTTTCTTCCTTTCTTCCTTTCTTTCCTTTCTCTCTCTCTCTCTCTTTCTTTGACAGGGTCTCACTCTGTCACCCAGGCTGGAGTGCAGTGGTGCGATCTTGGCTCACTGCAACCTGTGCCTCCCAGGCTCAAGCGATCCTCCCACCTCAGCCTCTCGAGTAGCTGGGACTACAGGTGCATGCCACCATGCCCGGCTAATTTTTGTATTTTTGTTAGAGATGGGGTTTTGTCATGTTACCCACGCTGGTCCTGAACTCCAGAGCTCAAGCCATCTGCCTTCCTCAGCCTCCCAGGGTGCTGGGATTACAGGCCTGAGCCATTGCGCCTGACCTAAGAATTATTTTATTAGGAAATAGTGCTTGATAAATAATGCTTCTTTTTGTATATTTGCCACAGTGTATCTTTAGATAGATTCCTAGAAGCTGCATTTTTTGTGTCAAAGGTTAAATGCCATGTAATTTTGCTAGATATGAGTCCAAGCACTTCTTGAGAATTCATTTAAATTCTGTCTCTGCTCTACCATAGGGGAAGGTCCGGGCTGTTCTGATGGGAAAGAGGTATTGGAGGTGAGGCCCAAGAGGCTGTAGTGGGAAACCTCGCACCTGAAATGACAGGAGAATCCAAATTCAGGGAGCGTGTGGGATCAGGAGCCACATGAAAAACCAAAGGCCAGGAGCCAGGAAGGAAATCTGGGGAATTTCAAATAGGGCCAAGAGCAGATATGGAAGCTTCCATCCAGGAACATAAATGTGGGAAAAATGAATACAAAAACAGGCTTGGAACAAATTGGGGAGGGTCCAAGGTCATTACCCCAAACAGCAGCTGCTCTTTTACAACTATTTTTCTTGGCTGGCTGGAACATAAGACAAAGGCACAGGGCTGTTTGCACATGTTTCTGTCACGCCGAGGGCAGCTAACTGAAGGAGGATGTGGTAGCTGAAACCTAGTCTGTACTTTAGCCACTGCCCCTCCACCCCCAAAAGGATAGGAGTGAAGGGATGAAGACCACCTTTTTCTAATTTGCACAAAGATGCATTTGGCCTAACAAAATGGGCAAGAATTATCCCAAATCTCCTTCCACTTTTGCAGTTATATTCATATCTTTCTTCATAATTTAGCTATACCATGGCACTTTTAAACTCGATCTGTAGTAGGAAGGTGAGGCTAAATGTTATGGTCCTTTGCATTTTGATCCGTAAGCAAACAGTTGTTGTTTATTTTAGAAAAATGGTTTCCAGGTGTAACTGCCAACTGCTGAAAACTTAGGGTTATGTGAGGTGAGGCATGTTGATGCTTTAGTTTATTTGGAGATGGGGGAAGCAGGAAAAACAGCAAACCATTGCAGTATCTGGAATTGATATGGATCTTTGTGTTTAAGACAGGGAACTGAAGCCTGGCTGTACCATACATACTTTAAACATTTATGCTTATGTAACTGCTAATCGAATTTTGAAAAACTATATAACTTTTCACACTTTTTACAAGGATGTTTAGGTTTAATGAGTTGAAAAGATATACATTCTAGAATATTGTAAATATGACATTTTAAATAAAAATTGTTACACCACTCTTTTAAATGTATTAAATGGGGCCGGATGCAGTGGCTCACACCTGTAATCCCAGCACTGTGGGAGGCTGAGGCAGGGAGATTGCTTGAGGCCAGGAGTTTGAAACCAGCCTGGACAACATAGTGAGATCCCACCTCTACAGAAAATTTTAAAATTAATGTATTAAATGAAATATTAGCACCAAAGTGATTTGATATTCACCATCATCCAATGGAAAAAAAGAAAAACACTGCCAAGCTTTTCTTTAAAAGAAAACCCCAAGGACAACCAGCAGAAGGATTTTACATCTTCATTTTACATTGCTCCTTTCTCTCTTGAAAATGTATTTCCATCCCATTCCCGCAAATAATTTTATCTAGTGTAATATATTTTTAACGCTTAAAAGCCTTTCGTTGATCATTCATTATGTCTCTGCAACAAAAATATTAATATAAATTAATAATTCTGTGGTCTTCAATTCCTACAGTCTTAAGGCTCTAAATGTTCAAGATTCTTTCAATTTAGTTATTTTTACAAGTCTTTTTATTGTTACCATGATCCATACACAATCAAAATAAATAAATTTTATCATTTTGTAAATCATTGTTAAACAAAATTTTATTGGAAAGTATCATTTTAATGAGAGAGGGTATTTCAGAGCCTTTGTTAAAGAAGGCTCTGCAGGCATCAGCTTGAATTTCCTTTACTTGGGAAGGTGGGTTTTTTATATGTCTCAGGGCACTGCATAATATTAAAATAAAGGATGGGCCGGTGCAGTGGCTCACACCTGTAATCCCAGCAATTTGGGAAGTCGAGGTGGAAAAGCGCTTGAGCCCAGGAGTTCGAGACCAGCCTGGGCAATACAGTGAGACCACCATCTCTACGAAAAATAAAATAACTAACTGGGTGTGGTGACACACGCCTCTAGTCCCAGCCATTCAGGAAGCTGAGGTGGAAGAATCACTTGAGCCGGGAGGCTGCAGTGAGCTGTCATCAGCCACCGAACTTCAGCCTGGGCGACAGAGTGAGATGCTGTCTCAAAAAATATGTATATACTATATATATATACACACACACATGCAAACACATATATATACACACACACATCTTATATATATACATCACATATACGTATTTGCGTACATATACACATATATAGACACACCCATATATACATATATAGACACACATATATGATGTATATATGTACACACACACGTGTATATATACACATATACACACATATACACATACACACATGTATATACACACTATATATGTTTACATAGCATATATGTATATATCATATATGCATACATATATATGATGTGTGTGCATGCATATGTAGGGTATGTATATATAGAATATGTATGGGGATATATATATATGATGGGGGGTGAAAGATTTTGGTAAAGCAGGAGAAGGGCAATTATGAAATGAGAAATAGAAAAAGAGCCAGCTTAATGCCTTAATTGCAGGGACTTTCTGTCTCAGACCAATGTTCAGAAAAGAGTACAAATGGAGGTTGATGGTCCCCACCTGAAGACCCCAGGCAGGGTCCTCACCTACCCCTAGGGTTGTGCATACCCCAACTGGAAGACCACTGGCCCATGTAATATTAGGTGAGATCCTTTATCTAGAAATGGAGAGTAATAAAACCCACCTTGCAGAGTTGTGAGGACTAAACAAGAGAATCTCTGTCCACAGCTTGCTTGTATTATGCTGTGTAAACACAGGGTAAATGGACATTGCTGTCTGAGTTGGGCATTTATTGTTATTGCTATTCTTATTGGTGGTAAACATGTTATGAATAATTAAGATAAGGGATGAGGAATATTTGTTGCAAGTTCTCAATGTACCTTTATTCTAACGGTAGAGTTGTAATTGTCTGTTTTCTTGTCTGTCTCTATTCCCGGACTTGTTGGCTCCTTGGGTTGGGATTGTCAGAGTTGTCATTGTATTCCCAGAAGTTAACAGAGGGCCTGACTACAGGAAGTGCTCAGTAAATGTTTGTTGACTGAATTAATGTGATTTCTCCTATTAGTGTCTATTTAACATTAAAACGAGAAACAGCAGTCATCTAAAAGAGGTAGAAGCCACTAGGCCAAACCTATCCCTTCAGAAAAATATTCCCCTTTTGACTGATCTGGTTCTTTTCAGAGACCCATACTAAGAGAAAGAACCAATTCTTGCCACTTATTTCTCTTTGTCAAAGGAAAATGGGTTTCATAATTGTTTTTGTTTGCACTACTGCCAACATGGGCCATTGCAAAGCTCAGGTTGAGTGTTTACATAGACGTAAGGTATACTTTAGCCTTGGGAGCACTATAAAGACATGTTGTTGTCTTGATAAAAAGAAAGAAAGGGCCAGGTACGGTGGCTCATGCCTGTAATCCCAGCACTTCGGGAGGCCTAGGCAGGTGGAGAATGAGGTCAGGAGATCAAGACCATCCTGGCCAACATGGTAAAACCCCGTCTCTAGAAAAATAAAAAAATTAGCTGGCGTGGTGGCACACACCTGTAGTCTCAGCTACTCAGGAGGCTGAGGCAGGAGAATTGCTTGAACCCGGAGGCGGAGGTTGCAGTGAGCCAAGATCGCACCACTGCATTCCAGCCTGGCGATAGTGCAAGACTCCATCAAAAAAAAAGAAGAAAGGGAGGAAAAAAGAAAGAAAGAGAGACAGAGAGAGAAAGAAAAGAAAGAAAAGAAAAGAAAAGGCTGGGCATGGTGGCTCATGCCTGTAGTCCCAGATACTCAGAAGGCTGAGGCAGGAGGATTACTTGAGCCGGGGAGGTAGAGGCTGCAGTGAACTATGATGACGTCACTGCACTTCGGCCTGGACGACAGCAAGACCCTATCTCAAAAAAAAAAAAAAGAAAGAAAGAAAATTAACAAGCAAAGGAAGAATTCTTTTTTAAAAGTTTGAGAGTTAATACTCTAATGCGTAACTATGCTTATCTTAAGTTTAGTTAGTCAAATTTTATCGAATCGAAACTGAAGCTGTTAGGTTTCTGCATGTGTAAAACCTGGCTCCTAAAGAACTCCAGATTTCCTTCCAGTTCTAAAATTAAGTTTATGCATCAATTTACGTTTATGCATAGCACATGCATGCCATAGTGGCCAGTTTTTACTGGATTGCCAGATTTTCTTTCTTTCTTTTTATTTTTGAGAAGAAGTCTTTAAAAAAAGTAAAAGAGAGAGAGATGAAGTCTTGCTCTGTCACCAGGCTGGAAGGCAGTGGCTCAGTCTCGGCTCACTGCAACCTCTATCTCCCAGATTCAAGCAATTCTCCTGCCTTAACCTCCCTAGTAGCTGGGATTACATGCGCCTGCCACCACGCCCAGCTAATTTTTGTATTTTTAGTTGAGAGGGGGTTGCACCACGTGGGTCAGGCTGGCCTCAAACTCCTGACCTCAAGTGATCCGCCTGCCTCGGCCTTCCAAAGTGCTGGGATTACAGGCACGAGCCACTATGCCCGACCAATTGCCAGATTTTCACCAGCTCTTTTTTTAATACAAATATTGTTTTCTCAATGATGTAACTAATGGTGGCACATAAAAAGTCAGAAAAATATTTTCTGTTGATTGAAATGTTTATTTCATCACAAATTTTTCTTACGTTCAGCCTAATTTTTTTAGGTTATTATTTTTCTGTGGGTGCCTAATTTTTCCCTAGTTATGAATAAAAATCTATATAAGAGAAAAAGTTTCACTTTAGCCTCCGTTTCACTGGAGCTAATTTGACGGATCTTGAAGAACAGATGCGTGATAGTGAAAGACTGATAGGACATTGTCTTCTGAGTTGAGCAAGTGCTTCCTGGTAGCAGAGATGAACTTTCAAATCTGCTTGATTAAGCAAGAAATCATCTTGGTTTGACAGCCACAAACACTCAGGAACCCTGTGCCCCACATGCGATGGAGCCCCACACGCGATGGGGCACAAGATTTTAATCTATGGAACAAATTCATCAAAAACCATTAATATATGGTCGGGCGCAGTGGCTCACACCTGTAATCCCAGCACTTTGGGAGGCCGAGGCAAGCGGATCACTTGCGGTCAGGAGTTCAAGACCACCCTGGCCAACATGGTGAAACCCCATCTCATCTCTACTAAAAAAAAAAAAAAAAAAATTAGCCGGGCATGGTGGCGCATGCTGGCAGTCCCAGCTACTCAGGAGGCTGAGGCAGGAGAATCGCTTGAACCCAGGAGGTGGAAGTTGCTGTGAGCTGAGATAGTGCCATTGCACTCCAACCTGGGTGACAGAGCAAGACTCCATCTCAAAAAAAAAAACACAAAAAAATTAGTATAATCAGGGAAGACGTCGATGGGCCAGATTAGTCTGTGATTTAGCTGTTGGGAAGAGTTTTGTAGGACCCTTGAGGGTGATTTTAGGAAAATGAGTCATGAAAAAAAATCACCCCAGTTAGCACTGGGGCTTGGCACTGGAGACCACCGTCTCTCTTGCCTCCTATTCTTCCTTATCCATCATTGAATGTTCAGCCAACACTTATTAACATGCCCATTCTGTAGGCACTGGGGACAGGGGTGTACAAAGGGATCTAACCACCACTCAGAATCAGAAACATTTAAGTTGGGAATATTGTCGAAACTCTGCCACCATGGGTTTAGACCAAAGAGCTACCCCTCCTGGTGGAGATTCCCAACTATGCAAAGGACCTTCAGGGAGAAGAGCCTGAAGGAGTAAAGGACGTGCCATCCCCAGATATGCCAGATGGGGGGTATTGATTATTTTGAGTTGAAAACACTGAAGAAATTGTAGTTTCAGGAAGGGCGGGCTGACCTGTCTCTTCCTGCATGCAGTAAGTGATAAAGGTTGCTCTGGGAGGCGTGCCCTGTCCACACCAGAGCGAGAAAATACTCCTTATCGTAGAGGCTACAATGGACCAGAGTAAACATGTTTAATGAACTAGCCCTTATCTTTCACCTGTTTTACACACCCTTCCTCATATATGTCCTAGTGATTCTCCTAGAAAATTTACTGCCTGGCTAGATTTTCTTTGTCCTATCATTTCTTCTCCAATTTTTTGGCTCTTTTTCTAAAAATGTATAAAAGCACCTTGCTTTGGCCACCTCTTCGGACTTTGCCCTTGTGCAGATTCCCAAGTACATATAAAAGCAATAAAATCTGTATACTTTTCTCTTGTTAATCTGCCTGGTGTCAATTTGATTTCTAGATCCAGCTGAAGAGCCCACTAAAGGGTGATCTCCAGCTCCGCTACAAGGCACTGGCCATAGATGATGAGGAAGCTGGGTTGTTTCTGGGAACAGAACCATCAGCTTGTGTAGGATCTGGAGTGAGGTTCTAAGCCCCCATTTGACTTTTCAGCACTTCAGGCAGTTAGTGTATTGGTTTAACTCTAGCAGTGATCAGGCGATTCTTGAGATCATGTATACAAAAGAGTAACTATGAAGCAAGACAGCCCCATTCCCTGTGAATATTCTTCAAGGAAAAATCCCAAAGATTTGAGAAACAAAATTGTGCATGGGCACTCCTGCAGTCATTTAAAGCTGGATTCATTTAGAAACTAAATGTTTTGAAAGAGGTGGAGGCAATGAACCTTATAACCTAATATAACCCCAAACCAAACACCCAAATGTCTTCTTCCTTTCAACTTCTGCCAACCCTCAGTGACAAACTATAGGAAGGGGGACATAAAATGTAATTTTATCCCAACAAAGATCAAAAAAGACAAAGATGGGCATTACATAATGGTAAAGGGAGCAATTCAACAAGAAGAGCTAACTCTCCTAAATACATATGCACCCAATACAGGAGCACCCAGATTCATAAAACAAGTTTTTAGAGACCTACACAGAGACTTAAACTTCCACACAATAATAGTGGGAGACTTGAATACCCCACTGTCAATATTAGACAGATTAACGAGACAGAAAATGAATAAGGATATTCAAGACTTGAGCTCAGCTCTGGATCAAGTGGACCTAATAGATATCTACAGAACTCTCCCCCCCGAAATCAACAGAATATGTATTCTTCTCAGCGTCACGTGGCACTTACTCTAAAATCGACCACATAATTGGAAATGAAACATTCCTCAGCAAATGCAAAAGAACTGAAATCGAAACAGTGTCTCAGACCACAGCACAATCAAATTAGAACTCAGTATTAAGAAACTCACTCAAAACCACATAACTACATGGCAATTGAACAACCTGCTCCTGAATGACTCCTGGGTAAATAATAATGAAATTAAGGTAGACATCAAGAAGTTCTTTGAAGCCAATGAGAACAAAGGCCTGCGGCCAGACATCAGGGTCCTTCTCTGTGTTAGTGCAGTGAGCACTTAATTTCACTGTTTGGACATTTTCCTTGGTTATCTGTCTGTGTAGCCACAGATATCAAAAGAACCTAAACTCCTCCAGCCACCTCCCCAGACCCTATCCCATGAAACTCACACTCTTCTTTCTAGGATGGCCCCCGCCCCACCACCCTGTGGCAAAGTAAAATGTTGCTTTAAAAGACAGAAGCTCCAAACCAGCTAATACTTAAAATCTGTGTACCATCCCATCTTCATTTGGGAATAAGTAGCTTTAAAGTTAAGTTACAAGACTGGGCCGGGCGCGAGGGCTCACGCCTGTAATCTCAGCACTTTGGGAGGCTGAGGCGGGTGGATCACGAGGTCAGAAGATCGAGACCATCCTGGCTAACACGGTGAAACCCCGTCTCTACTAAAAATACAAAAAAAATTAGCTGGGCATGGTGGCGGGCGCCTGTAGTCCCAGCTACTCGGGAGGCTGAGGCAGGAGAATGGCGTGAACCCGGGAGGCGGAGCTTGCAGTGAGCCGAGATGGCACCACTGCACTCCAGCCTGGGCAATTGAGCGAGACTGTCTCAAAAAGAAAAAAGATACTAGCCTGAGCAACATATTGAGACCCCTGTCTCTACAAAAGTAAAAATAAAAATAAAAAATTACTCGGGGTGGTGGCATGCGCCTGTAGTCCCAGCTACTCGGGAGGCTAAGGCAGGAGGATCACTTAAGCCTGAGAGGTCAAGGCTGCAGTGAGCTAGGACTGCACCGCTGCACTTCAGCATGGGTGACAGAGCAAGACCCTGTCTCTAAAAACAACAACAACCACAAAAACAAAACCTACACGCATTTGCTTGAGATCTTAGCCCTTTGGAGCTATTCAGGCAAAAATTAAAATTTTTGATTTTATAAGATTCCTAATGTCTGTCTCTGCTAGAATACAAAGCTGCATGGCTCATAAAATTAGTTAAGAAATCTGTCATCTTTAGGTATACTAATTTTGTCCCAAGCTAGTCCAATGTGTGTTCTACACATTTGTCACTTCTTTTGGGCTGACCTACATTGGCAAGATTATACAATGCATGTGTATGCATAGGAAAATAATGACCTCATCCTAAAATATAGTACTGTGATAAGCAGGCTTCACAGCTAGGGAGGTATTTATTTAAGTATCTAGCACAGCAGAACTACACTCTAGCTAATCTGTGAGGGAGGATATCATGTCCAAATGTTTAACATTCTTTCTGGCTATTTAATCTAATTTAGAATTCTTGGCTTTGGCAGCAGAGCACCCTGCCAAGAGATATAGCAAGCCCTAGCAAAACGCCTGGCTCCACTCTACCCACTAGTGTGGGCAGGAGGCTTCATGGCTTCCCTAAATGGCCCTAGATTCCTCTTCCACCTTCATTCCTCTCTGCCAACCTTGAAATGTAATGTTTTATTTCATCAAACCAAAATTCAGCACTGGGCCTGAGGATCTGCCCAATTTACACCTTGATTTCTGTCTGGCCCATACTTGCTCCTGCCTTTTTTTTTTTTTTTTTTAAGATGAAGTCTCGCTCTGTCACCAGGCTGGAGGGCAGTGGTGCAATCTCGGCTCACTGCAACCTCCACCTCCCGGGTTCAAGCAATTCTTCTGCCTCAGCCTCCCGAGTAGCTGGGATTACAGGCTCATGCCACATGCCCAGTTAATTTTCGTATTTTTAGTACAGACAGGGTTTCACCATGTTGGCCAGGATGGTCTCGATCTCTTGACCTCGTGATCCGCCCACCTTGGCCTCCCAAAGTGCTGGGATTACAGGCGTGAGCCACCACGCCCGGCCTGCTCCTGCCTTTAATTGAGCAAGGTGAGCTGTGGCCCCTCTGCTCATTAACATACTGCTTGCTTAGGGAATTTGGTCAGGAGCCACCAACGCAAAGACATTTAATTGCGATTGTACTTTCTTTTCTTTTTTTTTTTTTTTGAGACAGGGTCTCACTCTGTCATCCAGGCTGGAGTGCATCGATCATGTCTCACTGCAGCCTCATCCTCCTGGGCTCAGAGGATCCTTCCACCTCAGCCTCCCAAGTAGCTGGGAACACAAGCATGCACCAACCTGCCCGGCTAACGATTTTTATTTTTTGTAGAGATGGGGCCTCCCCATGTTACCCATGGTGGTCTCGAACTCCTGGGCTCAAGCGATCCCCTGCCTCGGCTTCCCAAAGTGCTGGGATTACAGGCATAAGCCACCGCACCAGGCATTGCAATTTCACATTTAATTGGATATACAATTCCTGTTCTGCTCATGAAACCTGAGCGAGCCTTTAGACATTTCTAACATTGGATAAATTACTCGTTTCATTCAACTAGAAAATCCAAGGGCTGCTTTCCATTGCAATGGAGTTTTTGTAGTTATTTGCTATTTTTAATAAAACCATTTTTACTATACATTTTTTAATACAAAGCCAATGCGTATTTTCACTATAGAAACAATGTAGAAACAAAAGAAACACTATTGAGTATCAATAGTCCCTCTCACCCAGGGCAACCACAAAGAATGAACATCTTTATATGTCATTAAAAATATTGTACTTTTGGCTGGGCATGGTGGCTCACACCTGTAATCCCAACACTTTGGGAGGCCAAGGCAGGCGGATCATAAAGTCAGGAGTTCGAGGCCAGCCTGGCCAACATGGGGAAACCCCGTCTCTACTAAAAATACAAAAATTAGCCAGGCGTGGTGGTGGGTGCCTGTAATCCCAGCTACTCGGGAGGCTGAGGCAGGAGAATCGCTTGAACCCGGGAGGTGGAGGTTGCAGTGAGCTGAGATCGAGCCATAGCTCTCCGGCCTGGGTGACAGAGCAACACTCTGTCTCAGAAAAAAAAAATATATATATATATATTAAAAATATTGTACTTTTTCTGTAACGTTATTTTTTTCTGTTTTTTTTTTTTTCTTTGAGACAGGGTCTTGCTCTGTCGCCCAGGCTGGAGTGCAGTGGTGCGATCTCAGTTCACTGCAGCCTTGACCTCCTGGGCTCAAGCCTCCCAAAGCGCTGGGATTATAGGCAGCTTTGGGAGCTGCCACCACACCCGACCTGCAACATTTTTAATGTGTAGAATTCTGTGAATGAATCCAACTTCGGCAAATTTTTTTTTCTTTTCTTTTTTTTAATCAAGGAAGTGGAGACAAGATGTGAAGGGGTGGCCTGCCCCTCCACACCTGTGGATATTTCTAGTCAGGTGGGACGAGAGACTGAGAAAATAAATAAAACACAGAGACAAAGTATAGAGAAACAACAGTGGGCCCAGGGAACCGGCGCTCAGCATACCAAGGACCTGCACCGGCACCATCTCTGAGTTCCCTCAGTTTTTATTGATTATTATCTTCGTTATTTCAGCAAAAAGGAATGTAGTAGGAGAGCAGGGTGATAATAAGGAGAAGGTCAGCAACGAACATGTGAGCAACAGAATCTACGTCATAATTAAGTTCAAGGGAAGTTACTATGACTGGACGTGCACGTAAGCCAGATTTATGTTTCTCTCCACCCAAACATCTCGGTGGAGTAAAGAATAACAAGGCAGCATTGCTGCAAACATGTCTCGCCTCCCGCCATAGGGCGGTTTTTCTCCTATCTCAGAATTGAACAAATGTACAATCGGGTTTTATACCAAGACATTCAGTTCCCAGGGGCAGGCAGGAGACAGTGGCCTTCCTCTATCTCAACTGCAAGAGGCTTTCCTCTTTGACTAATCCACCTCGGCACAGACCCTTTACAGGTGTTGGGCTGGGGGATGGTCAGGTCTTTCTCATCCCACGAGGCCATATTTCAGACTACCACATGGGGAGAAACCTTGGACAACACCCCGCTTTCCAGGGCAGAGGTCCCTGCGGCTTTCCACAGTGCCTTGTGCCCCTGGTTTATTGAGACTAGAGAATGGCGATGACTTTTACCAAGTATACTGCTTGCAAACATTTTGTTAACAAGGCACGTCCTGCACAGCCCTAGATCCCTTAAACCTTGATTTCATACAACATATATTTTTGTGAGCTCCAGGTTGGGTCAAAGTAGTTGGGTCAAAGTGGCTGGGGCAAAGCTACAAATTAACAACATCTCAGCAAAGCAATTGTTTAAAGTACAGGTCTTTTTCAAAATGGAGTCTCTTATGTCTTCTGTTTCTACATAGACACAGTAACAGTCTGATCTCTCTTTCTTTTCGCTACAAAGATGGGCATCGTTTTTTTTAAAGAACATCATCTTTTCTAGGTCTTACAAATATTTACTCTGAACTTTTCAATTCTTGTAATGTAGGAGTAGTCTGGTTTTAGAAAAATCATGTAATCATAGCAGTATTTCAAGGTCCCTCAAAGCATGTGGAAATGCCTTCCACAAAAGTACTACATACACCTTTAGTTGGTGAAGCTGTGGGTGATGAAAGATATGTGGCTTGTTCTTTAAAATTTATATGTTTCAGCGGCTCATTTGTAACTGCATCAATAAGGTAGCTTATATAACCATTTATTTTATTTTATTTTATTTTATTTTTTTGAGATTGTGAGATGGAGTTTTGCTCTTGTTGCCCAGGCTGGAGTGCAGTGGTGCCATCTCAGCTCACTGCAACCTCCACCTCCTGGGTTCAAGTGATTCTCCTGCCTCAGCCTCCTGAGTACCTGGTATTACAGGAATGCACCACCACGCCCGGCTAATTTTTTGCATTTTTAGTAGAGACGGAGGTTCACCATGTTGGCCAGGCTGGTCTCGAACTGCTGACCTCAGGTAATTCACCCACCTCAGCCTCCCAAAGTGCTGGGATTACAGGCATGAGCTACCGTGCCCAGCCTATATAATTGTTTTAAAGAAACAACTGTTTTCCTGTAATCCCAGCACTTTGGGAGGCAGAGGTGGGTGGATTACCTGATGTCAGGAGTTCGAGACCAGCCTGACCAACATGGACCAAACTCGGCAACAAGAGCAAAACTCTGTCTCAAACAAACAAACAAACAAAACAACAAACAAACACTGTTTTCTTCAAAACAATAGTATGAAATCAAGTAGCTGTTTAAGAACTTTTAGTATTTCAGACCATGGAACAAAAATTTGAGACCACGACCATGGGCAGTTCTAGTGTCCCTGTCATTCCAAGCGTCTTCTTCCTACGCGGTCCTGTTGCGTTTGGCATTTTGCGGTGCTCTCTCTAGGCTTTTGCTGAGTGCTATGGGAGTGTGGGGCCTGGGACAGAGACTAGCCCTTGGGGAGCTGGCCCAGGCATCCCAGGGGAGGGGGAAACCCCAGTCGAAACATAACATTCCTGTGACCTGGAGATCCTGCCATAAAGCAATCTAAAGTGACCTCCGGAAAGAGGAAGTGGGTGCGCGGAAGGATGTGAGCTGGCGAAGCAGCCTGCCTTCTCCGTGGGAAGCCAGCATTCACTGCTCAGCTTTTTTTCTTCCCCGAAGCTCCAAAGGCTGAGCTTGTTTGTTTGCTTTTCTCAATCTGCCACCTACGTTGCACCCACAATCCTCTGTGGAATGCAGTCGGTCCAGGGCTCCCTCCAGCTTTCTGCCCATCCCACACTCCCACCCAAGCCCCCCACCTCCACCCCTCAAGCATACAGATCCTCATCTTTTTATTTCTTCCTCCTTCCCTCCCTCTCTCCCTCCTTCATTCCCTCCCTCTGTCCCCCTTCTTTCTTTCTTCTTCCTTTCCTCCCCTCCCACCTTCCTTCCTTCCTTTCTCTCTTTCTTTTCTTTCTTCTTTTCTTTTCTTTCTTTCATTTCTTCTTTCTTTCCCTTTTTCTGTTTTTCTTTTCTTTTTTCTTTTTCTCTCCTTTCTTTCTCTTTCTCTTTCTTCTTTCTTTCTTCTTTCTTTTTTCACTCAGCTCACTCTAGGGAAACAGACAGGAAAAATAACAAGCAAAGGTGAAATTATAAACATTCCAGAAGTCTTACAGTGTCCTCATGACTGTCATTTCCAAACGTGTGCTCTTCACACACATTTGCCAGACTCCCGGGTTGGAATGCTGGTTTCACCACCTGCTAGTAACAGGGCCTTAGGCAAGCAACTTACTCTTTCTGTGCCTCAGTTTTCCCACCTCTAAAGTGGGGATAAGAAGAGGACTTACCTCATAAAGGTAAGGTCTAAATGAGTTAACATATGGAACATATGTAAAAATGTGGAGTAACTCCCATGGGAGAACATTAACTATTATTGCTTTTAAAATTCTGGAAATCCCACAGCCTTTTTGGTTTGAATATGACTTTTACTCCCGAGGAACCAAGTAGAACAATAGATAGGAATTACTTAAGTGCCATAATACTTGGATCTCAGAGATACCCCAGAATATCTTCCATAGTAACAGAAAGTCAAGGTAGGTTCTACCTTGACCTAACATTACTCTTTTTCTTTTCTTTTTGAGACTGGGTCTTGCTCTGTCACCCAGGCTGGAGTGCAGGGGCATGGTCAGAGCTCACTGCAGCCTCAACCTCCTGGGCTCAAGTGATCCTCCCACATCAGTCACCCAACCCAAGTAGCTGGGACTACAGGCCCATGCCCCCATGCCTGGCTAATTTTTAATTTTTTGTAAAGACAGGATTTCACTATATTGCCCAGGCTGGTCTTGAACTCCTGAATTCAAAGATCTTTCTGACTCAGCCTCCCAAAGCGCTGGGATTACAGGCATGTGCCAGGACGCCCCGCCTCATTTTCGCTGTATTTTATCTAGGTCTTTCCCAGTAAAATTTGATACCTTAAGAGAAAACCATCCATAGGGGTGGCAGGCAGTGGAAACGTAGTTTTTGACTCAAGTTATACAACATAGGTAATTGTTATCCCAACCAATTACGGGGATTTACACGGACATTTAAGCTAGCTCTAGAAATGGACACTAGATTGCTCAGGTGAAAGCAGTCTTACATTTTAAAGACTCATGGCATTTAACCTCTCTAGATGTTTTGCAAAGTATTTCTTCATCCCTGTGCCAATTGTTCTGTTTTGTAATATGGAGAATAAAAAAATACAACTTCACATGAGTAGGTCTCTGAATTAATTTTTTTTTTTTTTTTGAGACAGAGTCTTGCCCTGTCGCCCAAGCTGGAGTGCAATGGCACAATCTCAGCTCACTGCAACTTCCACCTCCCGGGTTCAAGCGATTCTCCTCCCTCAGCCTCCCGAGTAGCTGGGATTACAGGCGCCCGCCACCACACCCGGCTAATTTTTGTACTTTTAGTAGAGACGGGGTTTCACCATGTTGGCCAGGCTAGTCTTGAACCCTTGACCTCAGGTGATCCACCTACCTCGGCCTCCCGAAGTGTTGGGATTACAGGCGTGAGCCACTGTGCCCGGCCAAATTACTTTGATTAAAAGAAAAATATTAGACAAATTAAATGAACAGAGTTTAATTGAGCAAGGAATGATTCATGAATTGGGCAGCCCCTGAAACAGAATAGTTTCACAGTGGCTCCAGCACAGCCACGTGGTGGAAGATTTATGGACAGAAAAGGGAAAGTGATGGACAGAAAATGGAAGCAAGGTACAGAAATGGCTGGACTGGTTAGAGCTCAGCATCTGCCTTATTTTAACCTGGTTTGAACAGTTGGCTGCCTTTGATTGACCAAAACTCAGTGACTGGCCCAAGAGTAGGTTATAGTCTGTTTACGCATCCAGTTAGGTTACAGTTCACTATGTGCAGGGAAACCTTTAGACTGAACTTAAAATATGTAAGGGGGTAGCTTTAGGCTAAACTTAATTTAACAGTTTATTTATTTGAGATGGAGTCTCGCTCTGTCTTCTAGGCTGGAGTGCAATGGCGCAATCTCGGCTCACTGCAACCTCTGTCTCCTGGGTTCAAGCAATCCTCCTGCCCCAGCCTCCTGAGTAGCTGGGATTACAGGTGCGCCACCATGCCCAGCTAATTTTTATTTTTTTAGTAGAAATGGGATTTCACCATATTGATCAGGCTAGTCTCGAACTCCTGACCTCAGGTGATCCACTCACTTCGGCCTCCCAAGGTGCTGGGATTATGGGCATGAGCCACTGCATCCAGCCATAACAGTTTATTATGTAACAATTTATCAGTAGTGCTGTCTCAAAAACATTATCGACATACAGCTACGTAGAGCTACTACTCAGGTCTTGACTTAAACAGAGCTAAGAATATTCTTGCCTTCATTCAACCTTATTAAGTCCTTTTTTTTTTCTTAAATTTTATTTCCTTTCTTCTCCTTCTTCTTCTTCTTTTTTTTTTTCTTTTTTTTTTATAAACAGGGTCTCGCTCTGTTGCTCAGGCTGGAGTCCTGGGTTTAAGCGATCCTCTTGCCTCAGCCTCTCGAGTAGCTGGGACTACAGTTGCATGCCTACCTTACATTTTTATTTTTGGTAGAAATGGGATCTCACGTTTTTGCTCAGGCTGGTCTCGAACTCCTGGCCTCAAGTGATCCTCCTGCCTCAGCCTTGGCTTCCCAAAGTGCTGAGATTATAGGCATGAACCACAGGGCCTGGCCGTAAACTCCTTTTTTCTGATGAAAGTATCTTCATTGTAGATACTTGGAGGTATAACTTTGAATATTCCCTCGGTAATTCTCTGACCTAAGGCCTTCATAATTTTATTTTGTTTTAATTTTTATTTATTTATCTATTTTTTGAAGATAGAGTCTTGCTCTGTCACCCAGGCTAGAGTGCAATGGCGCAATCTCCACTCACTGCAACCTCCACCTCCTGGGTTCAAGTGATTCTCCTGTCTCAACCTCCTGAGTAGCTGGGATTACAGGTGTGCACCACCACGCCCAGTTAATTTTTGTATTTTTTAGTAGAGTCAGGGTTTTGCCTTGTTGGCCAGGCTAGTCTCAAACTCCCAGCCTCAAGCGATCCACCTGCCTTGGCTGCCCAAAGTGCTGGGATTACAAGCGTGAGCCACTACACCAGACCAGGCCTTCATAATTTTATAAAATGTATTCTATAGGGTTGACATTTTAGAAAAGTATTCTGGATTCAGTGAAACCGTTGACAAACTTTTTTTTTTTTCGAGATGGATTCTCACTCTGTCGCCCAGGCTGGAGTGCAATGGTGTGATCTCAGCTCAGTGCAACCTTCACCTCCCGGGTTCAAGCAATTCTCCTGTCTCAGCCTCCTGAGCAGCTGGGATTACAGGCACCCGCCATCATGCCCAACTAATGTTTGTATTTTTGTGGAGACGGGGTTTCACCATGTCGGCCAGGCTGGTCTTGAATTCCTGACCTCAGGTGATCCACCCGCCTCAGCCTCCCAAAGTGCCGGGACTACAGGCGTGAGCCACCATGCCCGACCTGACAAGCATTTTTGAACAACCTCTTTGTTGGCCATGGTAGGGAAACTTGGCTAAGTATGCTCGAAATGGCACTTAATGGGAGCCATGGGCCTGAAAGGGCAGGCAGTGCTGGCGTGGGCTGCCCTGGACAGAAGGCCATGCTGTTCTCCCAAGTGGATGCTGGGCACACTGGACAGAGGACCGGACCATGTGGAACTAATTCCTAGGGGCCCGAGGGCACGGTGCTCCCTCTCTAACATTATTTGTTGAACAAGTGAAGCTTTTGGAAACTTTCCAGTGAATCTGCCCACCTTTGAAATCTTTCTAATTAAATATGTAAGTGTTAACTTGGAGCAAAACATCATCTCCATAGTTACCTTGCTTGTTAAGAGCTCACTTGTCTTTGCCAAGAACAGGTAAAACAATGTCCGTTATGAATTTTCCTGTTGCATGGTGTGTAAAAAAGGACTTTCTGTTTTCATGAAAGAAAGTACAAATAGATCCATCAAGGACCTGAACAGAGTTTTGCTTCTAGCTACTGAGAGCATGTTTGACTTGGACTGAATTTTTAAACTGTGTTTAAATTGAATTTTAAATGGAGTTATAAAATCGTAATTAGGCTACAGTGACAATGAGGCCTCATCACTGTGGCTTGAGTAAAGCCATGATGTATATTTTCAGGACAAACATATATCGTATCCCTGGAAATAGTAAAAAATAAGCCTCCTTCGTAGTTATTTTATTTGGTGGAGGGTGAGCAAGTTGAAGAGTCAAGGAAACTTTTAAAATTTGGATTTAGGTTTTTTTTTTTTTTTCAGGGGGGTGGGGGAACAGTCTTGCTCTGTCAACCAGGCTGGAGTACAGCGGCACAATCATATTTCGCTGCAGCCTCTGACTCCTGAGTTCAAGGGATCCTCCCGCTTCAGCCATCCAAGTAGCAGGGAATGCAGGAGTATGCCACCATGCCTGGGTATTTTTTAAATTTTTTTGTATGGATAAGGTCTCGCTATGTTGCCCAGGCTGGTCTCGAACTCCTGGGCTCAAGTGATTATCCTACCTCAACCTCCCAAAGTGCTGGGATTGCAGGCGTGAACCATCATGTCCCGACTGAATCTGTTTTACTTATAGCTTTTTTTTTTTTAACATTTTCTCATTTTCTGACCTTGACTGGATACCTTAACTGAAAATGATTTTTCAACAATTATCGGCTGGGCGCGGTGGCTCACCCCTGTAATCCCAGAACGTTGGGTGGCTGAGGTGGGTGGATCACTTGAGGCCAGGAGCTTGAGACCAGCCTGGACAGCATAGCAAGACCCCATCTCTACAAAATCTACAAATATTAGCTAGGCATGGTGGTGTGAGCCTGTAGTCCTAGCTACTCGAGAGGCTGAGGTGGGAGGATCTCTTGAACCCAGGAGGTCAAGGTTGCAGTGAGCTATGATCACACCACTGCACTCCAGCCTGGGTGACAGAGAGACCAGAAAAAAAGGGAGACAAGAAGAGAAAAACAGAGAAGTAGAAAAGAACCGTGAGGGATTGTAGTCTCAGGAGCCAAGGGAGAGATGAGTTTTGTTTTGTTTTATTTTTTTGAGGCGGGATCTCACTCTGCTGCCTGGACTGGAGTGTAGTGGCATGATCATGGCTCGCTGCAGCCTCGACCTCCCAGGCTCAAGCAATACTCCTATCTCAGCCTCCAGAGTAGCTGGGACTACAGGTGTATCACCATGCCCAGTTAATTTTTTTATTTTTTATCTTTTTGTAGAGATGGGGTCTCCCTATTTTGCCCAGGCTGCTCTTGACCTCCTGGGCTCAAGCAATCCTCTTGCCTTGGCCTCCCAAAGTGCTGGGATTGTAGGCGTGGGCCACCGAGCCCAGCCTGTTTTGTTTTGTTTTTTAAGAGACAGTCTCCCTATGTTGCTCAAGCTGGAGAGAAGTGGCATTTATTCACAGACACAATCAAGGCTCACTACAGCTGGAACGCAAGTGATTCTCCCACCTCAGCCACCTGAGTAGCTGGGACTACAGGTGCACAGCACCATGCTGTGGGATGACCATTAATGTTAAATGAAGCAGAAAGAGGCCGGGCGTGGTGGCTCACACCTGTAATCCCAGCACATCGGGAGGATCACTTGAGGCCAGGAGTTCGAGACCAGCCTGGCCAACATGGCGAAACCACATCTCTACCAAAAATACAAAAATTAGCTGGGCGTGGGTGGGGGTGCATGCCTGTAGTCCCAGCTACTCGGGAGGCTGAGGCAGGAGAATCACTCGAACCTGGGAGGTGGAGGTTGCAGTGAGCCGAGATCGCACCACTATGTTTCAGCCTGAGCGACAGGGCAAGGCCCTTTCTCAAAAAAAAAAAAAAAAAAAGAAAAGAAAAAAGAAAGAAACTGAAAGAAAATTTTCCTGGCTCCTCACTTCCAGATGCAGACACAGGTCCCCCAGCACCCTTTGAGTCCCCTCCCACCAGAAGTGGCTTCCCGAGAGTCCTGGGGGCCATTGCTACAGTGTTTCTCTCCCATGGATACTAAGGCTTCCTTGGGGATAGGCATTTCTCCCAGAGCAAGGCAGAGCCTCTTCCAGCCACACGGCTGTGACTTCCTGACTCAGCCATTCGTGGTCCTTCTGTGTTGGTGGCCACCTGAGCAGTCAGGGTGCCAAAGCTTCACAGTGATTTGTGACAGAGCAGGGGACCATGTTTCCCTCTCTTTGAGTCACAGTTTGTTAGTAGTGTGCTATTTGTTGGAAGGATCTCAAGGTTTGGGGCATCCACAGGGGAAGATTCAAGAAACATCCACTACGCTGGGCTGAAAATCTCTGCTTCTTTCCAGCGAGTCTCTTGGTTCCTGAATAGTTATCTCTGCCTCACTCCTTTGCTCAGAATGTGCTGTCTCCTGGGAGACCCCTGCAAATATGACTTCTGTGGGAAGACTTTCCCATGGGCTGGGCATGTCCAGTTCCACCCAGCAGTAGCCCTGGCTTGGGTTCAGTCTCAGCAGCTCCTCCGCTCCATGCGACCATTCTCTCTCATGCTATTTTGTGTTATTTTGTGACCAGTGGATGCTGGAGGCCATGCATGGAGCAAGCTAAGCTTCTACATACAGATTGAAGCTGGTATGGGCAGGGTACGGGCATTAGAAGGTAATTCACCAGATCTGCTAGTCCCTCTCACTTGAGGCAGACGGCAGCAGGTCACAGACTCCAGCGGGAAAAAGAGTTCGAGAAGAAAGAACAGACAGCTACTTTTTTTTTTGTTTTAGATGGAGTCTCACTCTGTTGCCCAGGCTGGAGTGCAGTGGTGAGATCTTGGCTCACTGCAACCTCCACCTCCTGGGTTCAAGTGATTCTCCTGCCTCAGCCTCCTGAGTAGCTGGGATTACAGGCACACGCCACCATGCCCGGCTAATTTTTGTATTTTTAGTAGAGACGGGATTTCGCCATGTTGGCCAGGGTGGTCTTGAACTCCTGACCTCAGGTGATCCACTCACCTCAGCCTCTGTGCTAGGATTACAGGCGTGAGTCACCATTCCCGGCCTCAGATAGCTCTTTCAAAAACCTTGGCTATGAAGGAAAGGAGAAAGATGATAAGTTGCTGCAAACAACCATAACATTTAGGAATTTGGGCTCCTTTTTGTTAAAAATGGGAGAAATCTGAATAGAAGGCAACTCATAATTTAAATTTTGTCTCCAATTCACACTCCCTTCTGTCTATGGGGTCTGGTTGGTTCTCTTGTTGTTATGCATGGAGTCCACACAAAACATATGATGATTTTCTATGACATGTGCAAATCCAACAGTTACAGCCCCGGTGACTTCAGCCTCTAAACTGTTTTGTCTACCCCGGGAGTGGGAGGGGCCTCGAGGCAGCAGGTGGAGGAGGGTGGAGGTGGGGTGGGTGGAGGGTGGAGGGAGGCGGGGTGGGTGGAGGATGGGATTTGCTGCAGGGCCCAGCGCCCCAGATGCTCTAAGAGGTACAGGATCTTCAGCTCCTAGTCAAGCCACGAAGAGAGCAGAGGAAAGCAGGGCTCCAGAGGGCTTTGGGTTATTGTAGCTGTCACTAACAGAATGGAATTGCCAGTTGCCTAGCTGGGCTCACAACAGCACAGTCCTCACTGGTGACAATACCTGCTTCTTCCTCACCTCCCCAGTTCCCTCCTTCTCCCCATCTCCCACTTAGAAATAGACTCCTATTTCTAAGCTCAGAGCTGCTATTTCCTTCCTTCCTTCCTTCCTTCCCTCCTTCCCTCCCTCCCTCCCTCCTTCCTTCCTTCCTTCCTTCTTTCCTTCCTTTTTTGAGACAGGGTCTTTCTCTGTCACCCAGGCTGGAGTGCAGTAGTGTGATTATAGTTTACCACAGCCTTGAACTCCTGGGCTCAAGCGATCTTCCAGCCTCAGCCTCCCGAGTAGCTGGGTCTACAGGCACGTGCCACTGTACCCAGCTAATTTTTAAAAATAGAAACGGGGTTTCATTATCCTGCCAAGGTTTGAGAGCTGCTGTTTCTATTATACCTTCCTTTCCATTGTGGGGGAAGCTTTGTCTCTTTTTAAGCCTTTTTTTCCCCAGTTAGGTTATAATTCATGCAACACGCAATTCACCATTTTCAGTTGTACCATCCAGTGGCTTTTAGTTCAGTCACAATGTTGTGCAACCTGCACCAGTATCGAATTCCACAGCATGTTTTGCTTTGATCTCTTAAGCCCAGAAGATGGATGGAAGGGGGTGGACCTCATCAAAAGAAACCAAGGCTGCCAGGGTGCCAGAGGAATTCATCGTTTGCTAAGCAAATCCCCTCATTTTGCGTTTTCCACTGATAATGTGTTTTCCTCCTTGACGGCCATAAAATGGTAAAGAAAGGTTTTGCTTTACTGAGAGTCTTTCCACTTATTTATTCATTCAGCATCGTTAGCATCTCTTCTAGGCCAGGTATTCAGTTAGTGCTGATGATCCAGAGGCGAAGGAGAACCCAGGGCCCCTGTCCTCTGGGGTTTGCAGTCTCACAGGGACAACAAGTAGGAATCAAACAATTACCATTGTGGCGAGAGCTGTGGGAGTGGGTCATAGGAAGACAACTGCGGCTGAAGATCGGGTGCAATATCCCAGAGAAAGTGGTATCGAGTGTGGGAGGATTAGCCAGGGAAGGACAGTGTGCCCCATGAGTGTGGCCGGGGCGGGAGAAGGACACGTGGGTGTAGACAAGGGCAGAGGGGACAGCACATGGTGATATCTTGAGCAGGAAAAAAAAATGACCATGGGGACTTGGAATTCCAGGGTGGCTAAAGCCTCAGGAGCTGCGGGAGAGGAGAGCAAGATGACACGAGGTGTTGGGGCAGGAGGCGTCATGCAGGGCCTTGAGGCCGTGTCGATGGTCTGGGGCTTCGTCTTCAAGATAGGAATCCGGCCAGGCACGGTGGCTCACGCCTGTAATCCCAGCACTTTGGGAGGCCGAGGTGGGTGGATCACCTGAGGTCAGGAGTTCAAGACCAGCCTGGCCAACATGGTGAAACCCCGTCTCTACTAAAAATACAAAAATTAGCTGGGCATGGTGGTGCACGCCTGTAATCCCAGCTACTCAGGAGACTGAGGCAGGAGAATCACTTGAACCTGGGAGGTGGAGTTTGTGGTGAGCCAAAACTTTCCCACTGCACTCCAGCCAGTATATATATATATATATATATACACACGTACACGTGTACACATATACACACATATGCACACGTGTACATACACACACATACACATGCACATACATGCACATATGTACATGCGTACATACACACATGTACATATATACACACATGTACATATGTACACCCATACACACATGTACATATGTACACCCATACACACATGTACATATGTACACCCATATACATATGTACATATGTACACCCATACACATATGTACATATGTACACCCATACACATGTACATATGTACACCCATACACATGTACATATGTACATCCACATATGTACATATGTATATCCATACACATATGTACATATATACACACATATGTACATATGTACATATATATTTGTGTATATCTATGTATATATATAAGAATCCCTCGAAAGGGGGTTCAGGCTGAAGACGAAAGGATTCACCAACTCTATAGAGAACAGCCAGGAGGTCATTATAGGGTGAGAAAGGGTGGCTGCTTAGGTTAGGATGGTGGCTGTGAGGTGGGAGAGGAGGGAAGGATTTAAGAGATATTAGGGAGGTAGAATAGACAGTGAAGGAGAGGGAGGTCTTAAGGATGACTTGAACAACTAGGTGGATGATAAGATGGGAACTCTGGTGAGAAACAAGTTTGGAAGGAAAGATCATGGGTTCAGCTTAGGGCAGGCTGAGTTTGGGGTGCCTGTGAGCCTCCATGTCGAGACATCAAGTCCATAGCTAGGAATGTCTGGCAAGTCAGAGGACAAGCATAGGTCAGAGATGTAAAATGAGGAGAGGTGAAAAGTAACAGTGAAATCACCTTTAACAACATCTGAAACATTTTACTGGATTTTTTTCTGTTTTTGAGACAGGGTCTTTCTTGCTCTCTTCCCTAGGCTGGAGTGCAATGGTGTGATCATGATTCACTGCAGTCTTGACCTCCCGGGCTCAAGCGATCCTCCCACTTCAGCCTCCTGAATAGCTGGTACCACAGGCACACCCCACCATGCCAGGCTAATGTTTTTTTTTTTTTTTTTTTTTTTGGTAGAGAAGGGTCTCCATAGGTCAGCCAGGCTGGTCTTTATCTCCTGAGCTCAGTGGATCTTCCTGCCTTGGCCTCCCAAAGTGCTGAGATTAGAGTGTGAGTCACTGTGCCTTGGATTGTCAGTGACCTGTCTTTCCTCCTAGTTCAGTGATTCTCAACTTTGTTCCACCAGTTTCTAGACCACATGTGCACTGCTCTCTCCGGTAACTTCCCTGATTGTCCGCAGTGATTCTCCCTCATCTACAGGCTGTTGAGGATAGAAATGTGTTGCTTATCTTTGCATCCCCAGCATCCAGGACCCATTTTGGAAACCCACTAGGTACTCAGATGACTGATGACTGACCAAGAGTACACATGAATCAATGATTGTGTTGAAATCTACATAAAATAACTCATCAGAGACAGTGATTGACATAATCTTTAATTTTGTAGCACCCATTATTAGAGTTTAAAATAATCTGTACTTATTTAGAAGCAAAACATAAAATCATACAGGTGATAACACGAAGTCAGCTTAAAAAGTACAGCACAAAGATGTATAAACAGTATCACAAAGATTTAGGAGCTCAAGAGCCTCACCTTGGTCAGCTGAGGAACATCCTCCATGAAGCTTCGGGGACCTGCCTCAGGGGAAGATTCAGGGGTCACTGGGCTGTTACACAAAATAGAAGAGCATGGCTCAGTTCAGGATGTCCGGGGGAGCTACCCTCTTGTACATTTGCAAAAGCGCTGATAAGCTCAATCGTTTCATTTCAAGTGGCACTGTGCATTGCTTTGATCTCTTCAACGGTGGAGCTGATTTCTAGGAGGCATCCCCAGCTAAACACAGCCACTAGACCCATGCCTCACAGCCCCCGCAGCCACAGGAAGAAAGAAAACAGGCTCTCCCTCACCTTGGTTCTTCTGGTCTAGGTGGTGAGCACCCTGAGGGGCAGCAGCCACCGGCCCAGGGGTGCCAGCAGGCCCAGAGTGTGGCCCAGCATCTCAGCCACGATCCTCTGTAAACACAGGGGAAGGAAGCAAGACTTGCCCTCATCCATTTACAACCAAGTCCACAGGGTTCAGAAGGTAGAGATCAGAGAAGAAATGGAGGTGAATGTTGCTACTGCCTTGGGCTCATGTAGATAAGCTGTGTTTCAATTCAAAGAGTAGAAAATGATTTTAGCATTATTAGGACTAAAGTGTCATTAAGGATGAAAGACAAGGCCAGATGCGGTGGTTCATGCCTATAATCCCAGCATTTTGGAAGGCCGAGATGGGTGGATCAACTGATGTTGGGAGTTCGAGACAAGCCTGGCCAACATGGTGAAACCCCGTCTCTACTAAAAATTAGCCAGCCTTGGTGGCAAACACCTGTAATCCCAGCTACTCTGGAGGCTGACGCATGAGAATTGCTTGAACCTGACAGGCGGAGGTTGCAGTGAGCCGAGATGTCGCCACTGCACTCCAGCCTGGGTGACAGAGCGAGACTCTGTCTCAAAAAAAAAAAGAAACACAAGCGAACAAATTGCTTCTGCATAGTCAGGGAAAAAGGAAGCCCGTGGCAGGGAGAGGAAGGCCGTCGGCATACGGAGGAAATCTGATTTGATAAATGAGTGCATGGCTCGAAAACAAGCGACACGAAATAATGACACGGACCCAAAGGAGAGGAAAATTATAAAACAAGGAGAGCAGAAGTGGAAAGAGATGTGATAAGAAGGATAGTCTCCTCAAAACTAGATAAAACATTTACTCATCTAAAAGAGAAAGGAAGGGGGAAGAAAATCTCCTAGACCTTACTTATTAATATTGTACTTAAAAGAACATATTTTTGCATTGCACATTATAGAGGAAGGGGCAAGGATAGTGCTCTGGGTCAATATTTGCTGTAACTATGAACTTTGTCCTTTAACATGACAGCTACCTTTGGTCACAGCCGCTTCCTTGGATGCTAAATTGAAAGGGAAAGAGACCAAAAGTGCACAAAGGGCTAAGCCTAAAACTACAGGAAGAAAGCATCCTGCCGAGTGTTAAAAATAATTCCCAGAGTATGGAACTGTTATTGGAGCTGGCTGGTCACACATTGGATCCGAATGACAGGGTGAAGTAGCGATGAACACATCCACGGGACGGGGACCTTCATTTCAATTATGGCGGCCTCGTTCTGCTTATATGTGCTCATTTGTAAAACAGCCCCACTCTTCCTATCTTCCAGTGGGGCTACTTGCAAGGCTTTTAGCATACAACCAAGAATTATTTTTTAATTTTAATTTTTATTTATTTATTTTTGAGACGGAGTCTCGCTCTGTAGCCCAGGCTGGAGTGCAGTGGCACGATTTCGGCTCACCGCAACCTCCACCTCCCGGGTCCCGGTTCAGGCAATTCTCCTGCCTCAGCCTCTCGAGTAACTGGGATTACAGGAATGTGCCACTATGCCCAGCTAAGTTTTGTATTTTTAGTAGAGCCGGAGTTTCACCATGTTGGCCAGGCTGGTCTTGAACTCCTGACCTCGTGATCCGCCCGCCCTGGACTCCCAAAGTACTGGGATTACAGGCGAGCCACCGCGCCTGGCCAAGAATTAATATTAATAAAAGGCTGGTCCTGGGCTGGTTTTAGGATGTCAGCCCAGCCAGAAAGGATGTGTATAGATGTTATATTCCAGCAGGGGGCAGTACCACATAAAAATAACTCTTAAGGAAAATCCAGGTCTGCTACCACATATTTTCCATGTTGTTGAATAATAATTATTTAGTGCCGTAAAAATAGGTGACTTGTTCATACAATTGATCTTTTGAGTACTGGTGGGAAATCCCAGGACCATGTAAGCCCTAACAATGTAAAAGTCACGTGCCTTCTTTGAGTCTCCCTCCTGTGTGAGTCCTCCTGTGTGTAGATGTGTCGGGGAGTGTGGCTTTCCTTTCTGTGTGTGTAGTAATTTGCTATTGCAACCAAGGAAATGCATATTACATAGGACCTCATCAACTACCATTATAGATGAAAGTTTTGTTTAAGAGAATATACCCTAGATTTTTCTCTTTTTAAAATAGAGACAGAATTCTCACTGTGTTGCCCAGGGTGGTCTCAAACTCCTGATCTCAAGTGACCCTCCCGCCCTCAGTCTCCCAAAGTGCTGGGATTACAGGCATGAGCCACCACATCCAGCCCTGTAATTTAGCTAAAGATATTTCATTCTAGGCTGGGAATGGTGGCTCCCGCCTGTAATCCCAGCACTTTGGAGGCTAAGGTGGGAGGATCACTTGAGGCCAGGAGTTTGAGACCAGCTTGGACAGCATAGCTAAACCCCATCTCTACCAAAAAAAAAAAAAAAAATTGCTGGGTGTGCTTGTATACGACTGCAGTTTCCATTACTTGGGAGGCTGAGGCAGGAGGATTCCTTGAGCCCAGGAGGTTGAGGCTGCAGTGAGCTATAATTTCACCACTGCACTCCAGCCTGGGCAACAGAGCAAGACCCTGCCTCAAAAAATAATAAAGAAAAATAAAAAATAGATTTCTAATAGCAAAAGGACCTCATCATTAGCAGTTAAGTTTATAATATACCCAATTTAACATGGATCCCTACGGACAGAAGTAAAAGTATTAATAAACTTAAATTTTAACAATGATTTGATCAATTAGTTATAATATCCTACCTTTCCACTCTCTCCTTTGTAAAGTATCGGCATGCTTATGCTATTACAGTACTCATTTGCTATAAATTAACTTTAAATTAAATGATTTTGCATTGTTACACAATTGATTGATACTTGTATTTCAGTTGGGAATTACTGTTTGATATTTTTGTATGCAACATAGATATAAATCATACTACACTTAGTCAAAGTCTGGACTCTGAAGGAACTTTAAAAATCTTTTGATTAAATTTCTCTCTGTTAATGGTATGCTCCTACTCATCAAAAATTTTCATAAACTCCAGTCATTACAGATGTCAACATGTGCAAGAAACAGTACAGTCAAATTATAACAGCAAATTTATATCAACTCTTTTGTTTGTTTTTTTTGAGATGGCACTCTGTCTCTCCCAGGTTGGAGTGCAGTGGCATGATCTTGGCTCACTGCTGCCTCCCGTATTCAAGTGATTCTCCTGTCTCAGCCTCCCCAGTAGCTGGGACTATAGGTGTGCACCACCATACCCAGCTAACTTTGTATTTTTAGTAGAGATAGGTTTTCACTATGTTGGCCAGGTTGGTCTCGAACTCCTGACCTCAGGTGATCCACCCGCCTTGGCCTCCCAAAGTGTTGGGATCACAGGCGTGAGCCACCGTGCCCAGCCAACTCTCCTATTAAAAAAAAAAAAAGAAAGAAAAGGAAATTTTTCCACCCTGGAACTTCCCCATGCAATTATAATAGGAATTAAAATAGAATGATAAGGATGTTCAAAGCTTTCCTAGCCATGCTAGCAATGAGATGATAATAAATCCAGTGTTAGACATGACTAGCAATCAGGACTCTGGAAATAATGATATCAAAATGAAAGACAAGTGGGACGTACGCTGTGGTCCTACGTTTTTCCTGCTGTTCCTGCTATTCCTGAATTTAAGGGTAAAGGCGCACACTCAACTCTGCCCGTATCTTATCTGCCTGAAGCCTGCAAATCAGCAAATGTCATCTTGCTTGACGTTTTTGGTCCATCTCAAGGGAGGAAAGTTCCACTGACACTCGTGAACAATAGCTGTGTCTGAGATGAGATGGTATGTTCGGTTTACAGTCAGTTTTGAGACTGCACTTTTGTGGTTGGAATTTTGGAAACATGCCCCCTAGAAGCTGTGCTCACTAAATTTTCCAAATTTTAAATTTATAATTTAAGAACATTTTACTATTTTTATTTATGTTTGCTGCTGTGGCCCCTTCGGAGGCAGTTAGAAGCCCACGTCTTGGGCTGCTGTCCCAGGCCACCGAGAATGGCCTTGTGGCTTTCAGTAGAGCAGGGCTTCCTCTGAGCAGAGGACTTGAGTGAAGTCTAGGAAAGGACGGGGGCGGGAAGGAGGGCGGGCAGGGGGTGGGGGCAGGTGCTATTTCTGTTTTGGTTTTTTGAGATGGAGTCTCACTCTGTCGCCCAGGCTGGAGTGCATGGCACGATCTTGGCTCACTGCAACCTCCACCTTCCCAGTTCAAGCAGTTCCCTGTCTCAGCCTCCGGAGTAGCTGGGACTACAGGCACCCGCTACCACGCCTGGCTACTTTTTGTATTTTTAGTAGAGACGGGGTTTCACCATCTTGGCCAGGCTGGTCTTGAACTCCTGACCCCGTGATCCACGCGCCTCGGCCTCCCAAAGTGTTGGGATTACAGGCGTGAGCCACCGTGCCCGGCCCGGCAGGTGCTATTTCAATGCCCTTCTTCCCCAGGGTGCCCTTTCTTCTTGCCAGGCCTCTGCCTTTTGTCAGTCTGAGGTGGAGGAGTCTCTTGAAATGAGAGAAATCTTCCCATCCCCCTCCACCGGGATGAAGGCTTGGGGTGGGGGTGGAGGTCCCACCTGTTCTTCCATCTTTTCTGTCTCTGTCTGGGGGAGGCGGAGGCTCAGAGGTGGGAGGAGGAAAGAGCAGGCTGAGGAGAGGTATAGAAAGGGGTTTTCCCTTCCACCCTCCT